>NC_000011.10:32787272-32938787 GCF_000001405.40 Homo sapiens
GCATGAAGCCATTTGTCACTACAGTTGAATGCATGTGTACATAAAATACATGAGCCACGTCCTTATTGTTATACTATAACAGCATCAGTTTCACACTATCATTTCACATAATAACAACCAGTAGGCTTTGACATTAGCTAAAACATTCAAAGAATATAAACACAATTGTCTTTTTTATATTTACAACTATAAAAAATTTTCGATTTTTCAGTAACAAAAACATTTTTCCCAAAAAAATTATTTGGTAAAGAACCATAAGTTTCAAGTTGCTTTTTTCTTAAATATCACATAAGTTGGTTTCATCATATTGTCTTTTATTCTTGTGAATACTCTCATAACTTGAAAAGAATGGCAAATTAGTCCTATAAGCCTGTCTCCTTCATACATAATTATTAATTTAGTATGTAAATGTAAAATATGGATGGCATTTGTCACAAAAAGTGAATCTTTGTGTGAAAAATTATACCCATTAATTATACACAAGCTGGTGCATGTGTAGAGTAAAAAAGATACAGAACAATCAAAATATGATCTAAAAACATATAAACATGAATTATATGATCTGGGATTGCTACAAGATTCATTGAGAACATCCTTAACTCCATCAGGACCTTTTATAATCTAATAAAATTATAACTATTACATTTCCTAAGGTATGCCCCCCAAAAGTAAAGAACTGAAAGATCTTTTATGTCCCATATAGCACAAGTGCCAAGCTGGAACTGATTACACTTACACTCATCAGATTCTATCTTGTAGTAGCAAAAGTTGCCTTATCCGTTATACTGCAAATTCCTTGACCAATGGCGAAGTCTTCCACACTTTTGTATTCTCATACTGCCAGATATAATAATTTACAAAAGGCAGGCACTAAATTAATTTTTGTTGCATTGATTATACTGAATTGAATAGATCACTCATATCCTTTGGAAAAGGCAAGAGAAGGATACTTGAAAACCATGAATCAAAGAAGGCAGCATGTACAATCAGAGTGTTTCCTATAACTGTGATAGATAAACTTTTAGAAGGATATCACAAAGCTGGAAAGACTAGAGAAGAGCAATAAAGGAAGAGTATCCATATACTGATTTTTAAAAATTAATTAGACTTCTCATATACAGACAATAAAGAATAACAATGATGTAATTCAATAAATCTTTCTGTTTAAGGAACTACAGATGATACAAATTTGATGGTACAAATCTTTTTTTTTTTTTTTTGAGACAGGGTCTTGCTCTGTCATGAAGGCTGGAGTGCAGTGGTGTGATCACAGCTCACTGCAGCCCCGACCTCCGGAGCTCATGAGATCCTCCCACCTCAGCCTCCCAAGTAGCTGGGACTGCAGGCACATGCCACAACACCCAGCTAATTTTTGTATTTTTTGTAGGGATGGGGTCTCACTATGTTGCCCAGGCTAGTCTGGGCTCAAGCGGTCCTCCCACCTCAGCCTCCCAAAGTGCTGGGATTACAGGCATGAGCTACTGTGCTTGGCCGAGTTAATCTTAATCTCCAGGTATTTACAATCTAGAAAAATGGACAAAGCACTTATACAAATTAGTTTAACTCAAGGCATAGTAACACCAGGCATAATACAAAAGACATGGTAGATAAACAAAAAAGGGTGCTATAAGTGTTCAAAGAGTTCAAAGTCATGGTGCCCAAGCCTCATTCACTTTATCTCTAAAATAAGAATGCTAAACTAAGTTTAATTTTTATATTGTTAACTTTTAAACATACTATCCCATTGCAAAAATAGTTATAATTTCAACAGCAAATTAGATAAGATAGTATCTAGTGCAATTCTAGCTGTCAAATTCTGATCTAATTAACCTATGGAGATGAGATTTTAGGCTACTTATAATTCCAAAAACAGTTAATGGAGAAGGATTTTTAGAAACATAAAGATTAAATGCTTAGCCTTAGGGGGAAAAAAAGGGAATAATACTCCTCTCATTCTTAGCGACTACAGTGAAGGATAAGGTGAAAGGGCCACAGTACAAAAATCACTGAGTTTCCAAAGAGATCAGTTATAAAATCAAGTGTAAACCTGACCTTGTTAAATAAACTTCAAAATACCAGAAGAAGAAACCTAAATCCAATATTAATGTAAGCAAATAAAGGAAACAAAGAAAAATGTATTCGTTCATTTAACAAACATTTATTGAGTCTCTTCTATATTCAAAACGTAGTGATTTTTTTAAAAATACAGACACCCAGGCTGGGGTTGTTGGCTCAGTCCTGTAATCCCAGCACTTTGGGAGGCTAAGGCAGGAGGATCGCTTGAGGCCAAGAGTTCAAGATTAGCCTAGACAACATAGTGAGACCCACATCTCTACAAAAAAACAAAAAAATTCGCTGGGTGTGGTGGTGCACACCTGTAGTCTCAGCTACTCAGGAGGCTGAGGTGGGAGGATCACTTGAGCCAGGGAAGTCAAGGCTACAGCTAGCTATGATCGTGCCACTACACTCCAGCCTGTGTGACAGAATGAGACCCTGTCTCAACAAAAAATAAATACGACACCTTCTTCTCAAGGAACTCTAGTAGAGAGATACGGATATACAAAATAATTATAATACAATGTGATCATGTGTGAAGATGGACACCCAGCATGAGAAAATCAGGGGTGGCTTGGGAAGGTCAGTCAGCCTGAGGAAGGTGACTTCTGGGCTAAGATTTAAAATCTTAAAAGACAAGACATTAGTAAAATGAAAAATTAGATAAGGGTATTTTAGAGGGAAAAACAGCATAAGTAAAGGCAGAGATGGAAGAAACATCATTTTAAATGAGGAACTAAAAGTAGTGTAGGGAGATTGAAGTCTAACAGGTAAGGCTGAGAGAAGATGAGATGAGGCTTGAGAAGCAGGCAAGTCTTAGGGGGTCTTTTATGTTATGTTAAGGAGGCTAAACTAATACCATCACATATTCTGCTCTATTATACCAAATGCCTTGCCATATATTCTCTGTTTAAACATATTTTAAAATCAGATCAAATTCCATCTCCTCTGAAGATTTTCTTACAAATCCCATTCACACCAATTTCTCCTTTTCCGAACTATACTTATTGTCAGATCATATGGTTAGCACTTTATTCTGTATATTGCCCCATTCTGTTATTGTCTATTCCACATAATTTTGCACTTTATTTATCCATTTATAATACTGCCCATAAATAATGTTATTTTTTCATTAACTGTTTCATGTTTGAAGAAGGCTTATTAACCTCCAAGTGAGGAAAAGCCTTGAGAGCATAGTGAATACTTGATAAACATTTTATTAAATTGCTATAAATTATATAAAATTACAAAAACCACTTTTAGTTTCTTAAAATATTTACACTATTATGAGTAAAACATTCTCTGTTCATACTAAAATCTTTACCAAATTTCTCCTTGTTTTAAGAAACAGAGGGAGGATTATATATATAAATTTTAGAAATTTAAAAATAGTTAAAACATGAACTGTATATGTGTGAAGAGATTGAGAGAATTAGATATTATCTCCGTAAAGATCATTATGAAACTATAACATAAAATAAGCTACTAAATGTACTATAAATTCAACCAATCTAAGGCAACATACCAGAGACCTTTGGAACAGGTACATAAACACTAATTTGAGCCACCTTATAAATAAAATGTAGCAAAATCCTTTAAGGATTTTATAAAACACAACTTTTAACTAAACTAAACTCCAATTTTTTTCAAATATGAAACAAGAATTGCCAAAATAGCTTAATAAAGTTGAATCCAACACAGCTAGAAATGTACTGCTCATTGAACTTAACTGAAAATAAGTTTTAGTTTTATATGAAATTAATCAGTGCCAGAAAATCTCATACAGGTTTTTCTTGTTACTAACAGAAAATTTCCATGGGTCATCAGGAAATTAAGAAAGCTGAATGACTTCCTGATGTGTTTCTCTGTCATGTCAATATTAGCAAATAAACGAATTAGGAAAATGACATCAATAATTTACAATAAAAATTTTCACCTAAATGTACATTACAACAAAAACATTTCTGCCTTAATTATCTACATGATTATTTCCCAAAGTATGTTCTAAGGGGCACAAGGCCCACAAGATACATTTCTAAAAACAGGTTCCACAGTCAAATAAATCTGGGAAATCCCATACACTAACTCCCCATTTCAGAGATAAGCAGTCCCATTAGCTTTGTTGGAGCCTGTTTAACTTTAATCCGTATTTCCCAAGTTTACCTTGATCTTGAAACACTTTTTTTCATAATTCATAAGACAAGCTAATATTCTGGGGAACATGTATTCCAAAGAACATACTTTGGAAAATTCTAATCTACAAAATTGTTATATGTTCTTCCTTCACTAGTGGCCTAAACTGATTGTAAAGAATAATTTCCCAATTAAAAAAACACTGTTCTCAGCCAGGCGTGGTGGCTAATGCCTGCAATCCCAGGACTTTGGGAGGCCGAGGCAGTGCAATTGCTCGAGCTCAGGAGCTCAAGACCTCAAGACCAGACTCAGCAACATGGTGAAACCCCATCTCTACCAAAAAACAAAATCAAAAAGTATCCAGTTGCGGTAGTGTGCTCCTGTAGTCCCAACTATTCAGGAGGCTGAGGTGAGGGATCACTTGAGCCCAGGAGGTGGAGGCTGCAGTGAGCCAAGATCACGCCACTGTACTACAGCCTGGGCAACAGAGCCAGACCCTGTCTCAAAAAAAAAAACCACACACACACACATACACACACACACACACACACACACACACAATCCCCACCACTGTTCTCATTCAACTGTTACCAGGACTGATAAAAGAACATAATCCATCAACAAAGACATTTACCATTGAATCGATGACTTCTTTCAACTATAGCTCTAACACAATTTCCCAAAGTGTGTTCCATTAATAAGCACAGCACAAAAAAATAGGACCCCACGGTCTAGTGCAGTAAAACTGTAGACTGTGACTCATTCATGAGTCAAAAAATCAATGTAATGGGTCTTGACCAGAATTTTTTTTTTAATGAAAGGCTAGACTAGTAAAAAATAAAATAAAAAACATAAGTGTACACTGCTTATGGTAAAGGTAAGTATTGACTCATGTGTAAGTATTTACTCATATGGTAAAGCTAAGCATTGACTAATGTCGGCTGTAATCAGAGAAGTTTAAGAATGCTGTGAGTTCAAAAAAAGTTAGGTTAAACAAGTTCCTTCACTGCAGGACATTTTAGAGTCCTTAAATGAATTCCAAGAGTATTTTTGGCCACAGAAACCTTTTTTTATTGAAGCATCTCACAGGACTAGTGCTCCCTGGAACACAATTTAGGAAATACTGTCTTTTGGAAACGGTGTACCTCCAACTGTCTTGAGGTACACTATATAAATAACAGTGCCCAATTTTCACCTCCTTCAGAAAACTCAGTCAGATTTCTCATCTTAACTATAGCATCCTTCACAATTTGATCAAACTTGCAATAACTTTAATTTGGTTAGCATGAAGTAGTGGTTAAGCATCTGGGTTTCAATTCTAGCTCCACCACTTGTCGGCTGTGTAATCAGCCTTGCATTGTTATTTAATCTCTTTCCCATGGTTTTCCCATGAAGTGTAAGGAGAATACTGGGAATACCTACGGTACAGGGTTTGGGGTTTGTTTTTTTAGGATTAAATGAGATAACTTCCAGCCCCTGGCGTGTAATAAGCATTCCACATATGATATCTATTACTATTAGAATAACACTATCACCGCACCTGTACAGTTATTACGGGATACACGGCCAGAGCGAAAGAAACTAAAAACCCTATGCTGCCGCCTGGTGGACACTCGGAATTTAAAAATCTGTCATTCGCTTCCTTCCTGACACTACGATATGAAGCCGTATGGAAATTAAAACGTTTTCTCAAGCTGCATTAACACACTTTATAAATCATCAAAGTGGGGAATCTAATTTTCCAAAACTTAACAACTACCCCCAAGGCAACCCTGAAACCAGGGAGAGTTGTAAAGACTCAAATTGGCCGAAGAAATGGCTGAGAGAAGACACCAGTGAAGGACTACAGAGGAAACTCCATCCACAGCGTATTTGCTGATTCTCAGGTTGGGATATTTCAGTATAGATTTTTTCTTCAAGGTATAAAACAAAGAGAGCCATAGGAATTTATCACAACTAAAGCAAAATAACCAATAATCATCAATTCGAGGATCTCAATATAAGCAGAAGACTCCGTGGAATCTTCACATTTTCTTTCTAAAAGAAGTGCACTGATCATAAAGGTTCCCATAAATGACTTAAGGGTTGTCACTTATTTTCAGCAGCAAAGTGAAGTGGAAGATTGCAGCAATGACATGAATAATTTATTTTATTTTATTTTATTTTTTTAGACAGAGTCTCGCTCTGTTGCCCAGGCTGGAGTGCAGTGGAGTGATCTAGGCTCACTGCAACCTCCGCCTCCCGGGTTCAAGCAATTCTCCTGCCTCAGCCTCCTGAGTAGCTGGGACTACAGGTGCCCGCCACCACGCCCGGCTAATTTTTGTATTTTTAGTAGAGACGGGGTTTCACCATGTTGACCAGGCTGGTCTCAAACTCCTGACCTCAGGTGATCCGCCCGCCTCGGCCTCCCAAAGTGCTGGGACTACAGATGTGAGCCACCGCCCCGACCAAATAATTTATATCTAGAATTCAGCATTATCAGGATTAGCAGGGCAGTCATTTCATTCCCAGTGAGATTCCATTTAAATTTGCTCGTGCAAGGCAGTTTGGGAGAAACAAAATCACCAGCAGAATGAAGAAAAAATAGAGAAATGTCCCTGGGAATTTACACACTTCTGCAACTGCGCTAGAACTTTCGCACTATACTTAAAACATTCTGCAAAAAGTAACGTTCACCAAAGAAAAAGTCGAGATTCACCAATAACAGTTCCAAATGTTGCTAACTCTGAGCGGTCAGAGTTGTTTGAAAATTTTCAGAAGAACAATCGACATGATTGCATTGCATTCATAAGGCAAATATGAGGTTTAAAACAAAAACCACCACCACGCAAGGCACATGTACAGAAGGCGCTTCTCCACGATGAACAGACGAGACCCTCATGACTCACCCGCAGTCTCAATCCTGCCCAAGCAGAGATCCAGATGGATGCCTCAGTGTGGCTGCTTCTCCTGGGTCGGGAGCGTGGAAGATTCTAGACACAGCCCAGCAGTCAGGAGGCTCCAGGCCAAAGCAGCCCCTTGGCAACCAGAGCAAGGAAGGGTAGGTTACGCAGCTGGAGGTGCAGGGCAAACCCGTAAGTGGACCCTGCATGAAAAGATTAGGGCTGCTTCCTAAACAGCCCAACTACACGCTTGTGACTGCTCCGACTTACCTCAGCGAAGCGCGCCTCTAGCTCCTGTTGGCCCTTCCGGTTCACCTTTTCCCGCCCTAGGGCACTTCCGGCTTGAAGGTCATTAGCCTAAGATACGTGGGTAATCTTGAGCATCTGGGGCAAAATATGATTGATTTTATTTTCTTTTTAAATACAAGCTTCGGAAAAGATACCTGGATATTTGATGTTTTTCCTTAAGTACAACATGTATTGGCTTATATATTCTTTTTTGTTTTTGTTTGTTTTCGGTTTGTTTTTGGTTTTTTTTTTGAGACGGAGTCTCGCTCTGTCGCCCAGGCTGGAGTGGAGTGGCGCGATCTCGGCTCACTGCAAGCTCCACCTCCCAGGTTTATGCCATTCTCCTGCCTCAGCCTCCCGATATATTCGTTTTTTAAAAAAAAAGTCTTTGGAAAGATGAAAGAAAAATGAGTAAGTATTACCTGTGGGGAGCAATGGGAAGTGTGTGGATGGGAACGGGAGAGAGAGGGAGACTTCACTGAATAGCTTTTTATACTTTTTGATGTTTGCTTCATGTGAATGTGTTACTAATTCAAAAAATAAATGTTAGCCGGGTGTGAGGGTTCACTGGCTCATGCCTGTAACCCCAACAATTTGGGAGGCTGAGGTGGGAGGATTGCTTCAGGTCAGGAGTTCGATACCAGCCTAGGCAACATGGTGAGACCCCCGTCTCTACCCAAAAATACAAAAATCAGCCGGGCATGGTGGCGTGCGGCTGTAATCCCAGCTACTTGGGAGGCTGAGGCAAGAGGATAGATTGAGCCTGGGAGGTCAAGGCTGCAGTGACCCAAGACTGCACCACTGCACTCCAGCCTAGGCAATGGAGCAAAACCCTGTCAAAAAAAAAAAGAAAAGAAAAGTTGCTTAATTTTTAAAGTGAAATAGAAAAAAAACTGCAGTTCTAATTATACTGATAATCACACCTATTTTAAGCACCTAACTAATGCTATGTTTCAGTATGTTATGTTGAATAGTCATTCAATAAGAATGTAATATGTTTCAGGCCTACATTGTTTTTGCATGCTACCAAAATGTAAAAGAAGTGGTTCCTGCCCTCAAATTTTTTTTTTTTTTTTGAGAAAAAGTCTCATTCTTGTCCCCCAGGCTGGAGTGCAATGGCACGATCTCAGCTCACTGCAACCTCCGCCTCCCGGGTTCAAGCGATTCTCCTGCCTCAGCCTCCCGAGTAGCTGGGATTACAGGCGCCTGCCACCACACCTGGCTAATTTTTGTATTTTTAGTAGAGACGGGGTTTCACCATGTTGGCCAGGCTGGTCTTGAACTCCTGACCTCAGGTGATCTGCCCGCCTTGGCCTCCCAAAGTACTGGGATTACAGGCATGAGCCACCGCAGCCGGCCCCCCGCCCTCAAATTTTTAACCACGTTTTCCAGTAAAAATCTGTCTGGAATTCTTTTTACTCCTTCCCTTTCTCCAAGCGTTTGCCCAGATGTCACCTTTTTAGGGAAAGCATTCCTAACTACCCCATAGTAACACCCATGCACATCCCCTACTTTGACCCCACCTTGTTTTATTCTCTGTAGCACAATCACCATCTCGTCTGGTATATTTATTAACTGTATCCTAGGACACAAGCTTCGTGAAAACAGAGATGAATTTTGTTCACTTGCTTACCAGAATCTAGCACAATGCCTGGCATGTAAATGCCAAATAAATTCATATGAATGAATAAATGGACTATGACCTTTCAATTTGGTATTTACCAACCATAACAGCTATACTCTAATAATAACTAATATTTACGATAATTTACTATGTGCCAGACAATGAGCTAAGTGTTTTTACATACATCATCTCATCTTAGTCTCCACAACAATCCTATTACTATGCACTTTTTGCCTATTAGAAAACTAAGGTGTAGAGAGGCTAATGAGTTGAATGTAATCACCTCTGAATGCCCTCCTAACCCCATGCAATTTCCCCAATGATCAGTGCTATGGTTTGAATGTTTTTGTCCTGTCCACGATTCATGTTGAAACTTAATCTCCAAAGCAAGTGTGTTATGAGGTGTGGCCTTTAGGAGACGATTGAGTCATGAGGGGAGAATAGGATGTGATGCCCTTATAAAGGGGTTTTTCGGCCAGCTGTGGTGGCTCATGCCTGTAATCCCAATACTTTGGGAGGCCAAGGTGAGTGGACCACTTGAGGTTGGGAATTTGAGACCAGCCTGGCCAACATAGAGAAACCCCGTCTCTACAAAAAATACAAAAATGAGCCGGGCATGGTGGCAGGTGCCTGTGTAATCCCAGCTGCTCCGGACGCTGAGGCGTAAGAATCGCTTGAACCCAGGAGGCAGAGGTTGCAGTGAGCCGAGATCACACCACTCCACTCCAGCCTGGGTGACAGACTGAGACTGCCTCAAAAAAAAAAAAAAAAAAAAAAAAAGTAACAACTTAAAAAGTTAAAGGACTTAACCATTATTTTCACTTTGGGGATATCACTTTCAAGTCATGATACATGTGAACATTTAAAGAAACCTAACTGTTTCTATCAGCAGTTAGAAACTGCATCTATGAGCCAGGAATGGTGGCACACATCTATAGTCCCAGTTGCTTTGGAGGCTGAGGCAGAAGGATCACTTGAGCCCAGGAGTTTGAGACTGCAGTGAGCTATGATTGCACTACTGCACTCCAGCCAGGGTGACAGAGAGAGACCTTGTCTCAAAAAACAAAAAACAAGTTTAGAACTCTGTACATCTTCCTCCACTTGCCTGGCATATCCTGACTCTGCCACAACCAGCAGTTCACTTTGCCTTTCTTTGTACATGCTGCTTCCTCTACCTGGATGCTCTTTACTGTCTCTAGGCCTATCTAAAAACACTTTCTCATCCTTTAAATTCCAGTTCACAGGTCCCCTCTTTGAAATTTCATCAACTCTCCACTCCCATCTAAGTAGAACTAATCATTCCCTGCTTGGTGCAATCACTCGACTCTACATATCTTTATTGTAGTATTTATCATAGGCCCTTGCAATTGTCTGTATACACTTTCTCTCTCCTAATAGACTGTGAACTTTTTGAGGACAGGGACTTTGTCATATTTACTTTTAAATCCCCAATGGCTAGCACAGTAGATGGCACACAGCACAGTGCTTAAGAGCAAATGGCTTGGTGCAAATCCTGACTCTGCCATTTACTAGCTCAGGACATTGGGCAAGGCATTTGACCTCTCTGTGCCTCAAAATCCACATTGGTAAAATGGGAGTAATGATACAGTATGATCATCCCTAATCCAAAAATCTGCAATCCTAAATGTTCCAAAATCTGAAACTTTTTGAGCACCAACGTGATGCTACAAGTGGAAAATGCCACACTGGACTTCACATGACAGACTGCCGTCAAAACTTTGTTTCATGCACAAAGTTATTAAAAATATTGTATAAAATCACCATCAGGCTATATGCATAAGGTGCATAGGAAACATAAATGAATTTTGTGTTTAGATTTGGGTCTCTAACCCAACATATCCTGTTGTGTATGTGCAAATATTTCAAAATCCGAAAACCCTGAAATCTGAAACACCAAAGCATTTTGGAGAAAGGACACCCAACCTGTAGTACCTACCTCTAAGATACAAATATGACAGATAAGGTGCACAAAGTGCATAGCACTGTGCTTGGCCGATAGTAAGCATTCAAAAAGTATGAGCTGTTGTATTAGTATTTTAGACGAGGTCTCGCTCACTACGCAGGCTGGAGTGCAGTGGCACAATCACCACTAACTGCAACCTCAACCTCCTGGGCCCCAGGGGTTCTGGGCCCCAGTGATCCCCACCTCAGCCTTCTGAGTAGCTGGGACCACAGGCGCACGCCACCATGCCCAGCTATTTTGTTTGTTTGTAGAGACAGGGGTCTCCCTGTGTTGCTCAGGCTAGTCTCAAACTCCTGGGCTCAAGTGATCCTCCTGCCTTGGCCTCCCAAAGTGCTGGGATTACAGGCGTGAACCACTGTGCCCCATCTTATTATTCGTTATTATTGTCATTACAATTTTTAGGAACTCAGTATGTATAAATTGGTTAAATGAATTCATGAATGAGTAAGCAAAGATATTTTCAGTGGCTAATCAGGCATCTAACTCCAAGCACAGGTAATGGGAAGTTCTTCCTCTTTCTACCACATGCTCTCTTGTTTCCCTTTTTTCTGTCCCCATTTTCCCCTCTTAGTTAATCTAATGTAACTTTACATATATGCAAATTAAACACTTTTTTTTCACTACAAAGTCTGTGGGTTTTTGTTTGGTTTTTGCGTTTTTGTTTGTTTGTTTGTTTTGGGGGGGGGCGTTGAGACAGAGTCTCATTTTGTCACCCAGGCTGGAGTGCAGTGGTGCAATCTTGGCTCACTGCAGCCTTACCTCCTGGTCTCAAGCGATCCTCCCTCCTCAGCCCCACAAGTAGCTAAGACCACAGGAGTGCACCACCACACTTGGCTAATTTTTTTTCTTTTCATTTTTTTTTTTTTTTTTTGAGACAGAGTTTCACTCTGTCACCCAGGCTGGAATACAGTGGCACAATCTCAGCTCACTGCAACCTCCACCTCCCAGGTTCAAGTGATTCTCCTGCCTCAGCTTCCTGAGTAGCTGGGATTACAGGCCTGCGCCACCACGCTCAGTTAATTTTTGTATTTTTAGTAGAAATGGGGTTTCACTATGTTGGCCAGGCTAGTCTCGAACTCCCGACCTCAACTGATCTGCCCACCTCACCCTCCCAAAGTGCTGGGATTACAGGCATGAGCCACCATGCCTGGCCCCATTTTTTGTATTTATTTGTATAGACAGGGTTTTATCATATTTCCCAGCCTGGTCTCGAACTCCTGAGCATAAACCACCATGCCCAGCCTGTGGGTTTTTTTTAATGAATAGAATGTGAATCTTTATTACAATTTGGAATTATTTTTACACTTAACATAGATTAAAGCCTCAGACTGTCTTAATCCAGTCCTAACCATAATTGTCAGAATGAAAGTATGTCATTTTTACTTGATGTAGTAAAGGGAGTAAGCATATTTACATGTCTCCCAAACTAGGTTCTCTGTAATCAGTTTTCATATCCTACACTATTAGACCTAGAGCTGGTTAGAATTGGTTGTGAATAAGCACAGTGACTCCCTAGGAGAATAACAGGAGATAATATCTACATCAAAGAATAACTTATATGCACGAAGTAAATGAATAGGTTTCTGCAGCCTACTTAAATGCTATAGTAAAAACAAGTGCTTATAACTTTGTTATAGTTACAGCACTTACCACATTTCATTATAGTTATTTCTTTCCATGCTTGTGGGCAGAGAATGTATCATATTCATCTTTGTATCTGTAACCTCAGCGCAGTGCTTGGCACATAACATACATTTAATAAATATTAATGGATAAATATTTATAGTCAGAGTTGCATATTAAAATTTTCATGTAATAATTGATAGCACCACAAACTGTAGTTGAAATCTTTCTAAAATTTGCTGTATGTATTGAATTTTCACTCTAGCTTTTTACTTTGTATATAATATAGTAACATGTCAATTAGCTATTGAATTTTAAGTGTCAATATTAGTATGATGGATTAATCAACTACAAATAATTATCTAGAAGATGTACTACATACACCATGGGAGAGGTTTTATGTGAACTTATTATTTATTTATTTATTTATTTTATTTAACCTTATTTTAGATATAATGTACATGGGAGAAAAAGTCAAACATTATTCTTGAATTCAAGGTTGCAGTGGACTATGATCAAGCCACTGCACTTCAGCCTGGGCAACACAGTGAGACTTCATCTATATATTTTTAAAAGTTATTCTTATTATAAAATTGAGATTAGGCATACTCTTAATAAGACTTTTGCTTTTTTCCTAATAGAATAGGTTTTCTTTTGAGCTTTTAATTCAAAATTTAATGAAAAGCAATAAAACAAACTCAACATATGTATAAAATTTATCTTTTTTGGCCCCCTCAACTAACACCTCTTCTGGACCCCTTTACTTATGTTAATGATGGCACCATCCTTTCAGTTAATTAAGATGGAAACTTCAGAGTAATAGTATACTTCTCTTTCCCTCTCTCTTATTCCTCTCCTCCAAGTTGCAGGCCTAGTCAAGGATTTAGGACGAAGTAGGAGAAGAAGAGTGAAGTAATGAGTCTTAGGGTTCCTGCTTAAGCACCTGAGTAGATAGTATAACCATTTAATAAAATGGAGGAGGAAAGTCAACACTTTAGGGGCAAAAAAATTGTTATCAGGATGCCTCGGCTGCAAATAACAGAAATATTCAACTTAAATTGAGTTGTCAATAAAGTTATTGTCTCAGATAATAGGAAGTCAAGAGATGGAGGATTCCTGATGTGATTTGTGAAATCACTTGCTCTATTCCTTAGTCTCTTTGTTTTGCCCTCCTCCAGTGTTGGCTCCATCCTCATATAGGCAGCGAGATTGCTTTTAGTTCTGAGCATCACATTTATATACAACAACATAAAAAGGAAGAAGGCTGGGTAGTCTAGTGACTACTTAAAGGGAGAAAAATCTTTCCAGAAACTTTCTGGCAGACATCTGCTCATATCTCATCGGCTCAAACTCATTCACATGCCTATCTTAAACCAATCACTGACAAAGGAATGGGATATCCATGGCTGGCTTATATAAATCAAGAGTTACTCCTAGAGCTGGAGACAGAGCCATCTTCCCCAATCCACATGGTGGGTAGGGGTACAGAAATCCTAACTGGCTGGGCGCAGTGGCTCACGCCTGTAATCCCAGCATTTTGGGAGGCCAAGGCGGGCAGATCATGAGGTGAGGAGTTCAAGACCAGCCTGGCCAACATAGTGAAACCCCGTCTCTACTAAAAATACAGAAATTAGCCCGGCGTGGTGGCACACACCTGTAGTCCCAGCTACTTGGGAGGCTGAGGCAGGAGAATCGCTTGAACCTGGGAGGCAGAGGTTGTGGTGAGCGGCAATCGCACCACTGCACTCCAGCCTGGGCAACAGAGTGAGACTCCATCTCAAAAAAAAAAAAACAAACACTAACAAAATTATAACTCTGCCAATAACAAAGAAGGAGAAAATGGAGTTAAGTAGGCAATCAATAGCATCTGCTACAAAAATCGGTGGTTCTATTTTTGCAGATGTCAAGTTTAATGTATCTATGAGACATCCACATGGAAAAGTCAAAAGGGCAACTGGAAATGTTGAGTCTGAAGCTTAAAGAAGGGTCTCAGCTGGAAATACAAATTTGGAAGTGAATAGCATAATGTGTGTAATCCATGGAACTCGGTTAGATCACCCAGGAAGAGAACATAGAGAAGAGGACCTTAAATTATTCATCTTTAAATCAGAGATAAAACATTACATATTTTATTGGATTATTATGAGAGTCAGTTGAGACAATGAATATAAAGCACTAGATACACAGTGAAAACTCAATATCTGTTAATCATATGCAAATCAATATCTCTGATAGCCAAATTTCAGTCACAGTAACAGCCTATAAAAAAGATATTTTCTATCAGTTAGGTCCTTCCAAATATCATACTTCATAGATGACTGCCTGCTGCACTAACATTTATAGTTCTCTCGTTCTCTTTTTTTCTGGTATTATTACTATATGAAATGTCTAATTAATTCAAAGTTTTATTTATAAAAAGTTACTAATATCATGAAGGCATGACCAAAAAACACAGGAAAATGTTCTTAAAATATAAAAACACACCAACCATAATTTAATCTTAGTGAATCAAAAATGTTGTCATCATCTTCTCATCCCTCAGAGTCTTCATTAGTATCACCAATTGTGAGAATATTGGTTAATATGACATGACACCATTTTGCTAAGATTGTACACTTCTGTAAAGTGATAGATGATCAAGGAAAAAGCTGTATACCAAAATATAAAAGCAAGTTACAAGCATCAACAAGCAATTGATGAGCTTACATATACTGTATACAGAATTCTTCCTAACAGAAACTCATCCTACATCATAAAGATTGTTCTAACAAGCAATTCCTGGTGATTATTACACTAAAGTGTGTGAACCACTCACTAATAACTACTGCTATGGAGGAGAACCTCTTGTACCTGGCTATCACAGCTTCAGATTATCCCTGTTTTCTGAAACTATTTACCATAATTTTTTTGAGACAGAGTCTTGCTCTGTTGCCCAGGCTGGAGTGCAGTGGCATGATCTCAGCTCACTGCAGCCTCTGCCTCCCAGGTTCAAGCAATTCTCATGCCTCAGCCTCCCACGTAGCTGAGACCACAGGTGTGCACCACCATGCCCAGCTAATTTTTCTTTTTTTTTTTTTTCTTTTTTGGATTTTTAGTAGAGACAGAGTTTCACCATGATAGCCAGGCTGGTCTCAAATTTCTGGCTTCAAGTGATCTGCCAGCCTGGGTCTCCCAAAGTGCTGGGATTACAGGCCTGAGCCATCGTATTTACCATAAGGTTTGTTTGTTTGTGTTTGTTTTATTTTGTTTTGAGATGGAGTCTTGCTCTGTCATCCAGGCTGGAGTGCAGTGGCGTGATCTCGGCTCACTGCAACCTCTTCCTCCCAGGTTCAAGCGATTCTGCCTCAGCCTCCTGAATAGCTGGGATTACAGATGTGCGCCACCACATCTGGCTAATTTTTGTATTTTTAGTAGACACGGGGCTTCACCATGTTGGCCAGGGTCTTTTCAAACTTCTGACCTCAGGTGATCCACTTGCCTTGGCCTCCCAAAGTGCTGGGATTACAGGCGTGCGCCACCACACCTGGCCAGTATTTACCATAATTTTTGATACTAGTTTGTCTTCACTAATAGACTAATGTACTAAACAGCATGCACCTTTTAGTAAATATTAACAAATCACTTATCAATTTAGTTCATAGGATTCAATTATTTAGTCAATTCCATAAGGGAACATATAAAATTGAATTTTTATACCTTTAGCTTGACTAGATCTTGAACTTTGTATAGTGCCATGAAATGGCAGCTATCCTATATTGCCATGCCTGAAATAGTATGCATTAATCAATTATCCTAGATAGTATAATGTGACATAATGCTATAGATTTTTCTTTATATTTGAAGATTAGACTGCTAATCATGTCTGGATATCTTTAACTAAATTATGATCTAAAAGTGCAGTATGTAATCATTTTGTGGGTAATTTATTAAACCTGGTGTTTTGTTTGTTTGTTTGTTTGTTTTTGAGACAGAGTCTCGCTCTGTCACCAGGCTGGAGTGCAGTGGCACAATCTCAGCTCACTGCAACCTCCCCATCCCAGGTTCAAGCGATTCTTCTGCCTTAACCTCCTGAATAGCTGAGACTACAGGTGTATGCCACAGCACCTACCTAATTTTTTTTTTATTTTTAGTAGAGACAGGGTTTCACCATGTTGACCAGGCTAGTCTCGAACTCCCGACCTCAAGTGATCCACCCACCTCGGCCTCCCAAAATACTGGGATTACAGGCTTGAGCCACCACACCCAACCTAAACCTGGTATTCTTGTCAAATTGAAAACATCATTTCGTTTTTTTTGAGACAATATCTCACTCTGTTGCCCAGGCTGGAGTGCAGTGACACAACCACAGCTCACTGCAACATCTGCCTCCCAAGATCAAGTGATTATCCTGCCTCAGCCTCCCGAGTAGCTGGGACTACAGGCGCACACCACAACGCTCCGCTAATTTTTGTATTTCTAGTAGATACAGGGTTTCACCCAAGCAGGTCTCGAACTCCTGGGTTCAGGTGATCTGCCTGCCTTAGCCTCCAACAGTGCTGGGTTTACAGGTGTGAGCCACTGGTGCCAGCCAAAGATATAATTTCTAGTAACTTTTCATAGTCAGGAGTTTTCTTTACAAACTAGAAGTGAGTGCTTAAAACACTAGAGGTGGCCAGGAGATTTGAATTAGCTCAGTTTTCACGTTAATAGCCAACTGACCCTACCTTTTGCCTATGGTTTCAAATACTGAACTATTCCTTTGTGCAATAAGACAAGTATTTTCCCAGAAATAGTGAATAGGTTGCCCTGAGCCTTCCATATTCTCTTCCTTCTTCTTATTTTCATACTGTGGTTAAAGATTTAGTCCATTTGTTTTATGATAGTCTCTAATGTAAAAACAAACAAACAAAAAAGATTTAGTCTATAACCTCAAAACAAAGGTTTACTTAAGCCCTGTTTGGATGCTTTTGATTCAAAGTAGGAATATTCTTCATTGAGTATTTACATTAAAAAGAGACTCCACTAATGCCAAAGTATGTAGTGAATGTTCATCCTCTGCCCAACCTTCACCTGCTTCTTCCTTCAAAATTAGTTCAGAATATAGATTAAACACTTACCTGTTCTTTCCCTGACTCAAACTGCAGAATAAAGGAGTGGATACAGAGACAAACCACCTTAAGAGAACAGAAAAAAGTCATCAGAAAGTAGTTCTATCTCTGCAATCATTGATACACTAATTCGAACATACAGAACCTTGTATCTCAAAGAAGGCTCTTCCATTACTCAGGCTGAGTAGAGTGAGTTTCTAACAATAGTGTCCCAGCCTTAAGAGTGAAAAAATGAGGCAGTTACCCAGATAATTAATTTAATTTCTCTTTCAATTCTCTTCAGTTAATGATATAGACATATCTTCCACATCTTATTTTCTGCTTTTCATGTTAATGCTATTTGAACTTTTATTTGATGTTCATAAACAAGTTATACCATTTATGCACCTAAAGACTGCTTACAAACTTTCCAAGGTCACAGACTCCCTTTATTTCAATCATAGTAAATCCCTGTGACATTAATAAGCATTCCACATAAGTAGGAAAAGGATGAAAGAGCTCTTAAAACTTATACTGCTATAAAATATACTAAAATGCTTGCTGGGCCCCTTTATTCATAGAGTTCAGTGAGTCAAGTCAAGTGTAAGAAACTATATCCAAAATGTGGGTCTAAGTTAAACAAAAATATAAAACACAAAGCCAACTTGAGGTAATTTTCTGAAGAAAATCCTTCAGATCAGATTTATCTACCATACAAATTGATATTTTGGCCAAATGCGGCTTGAAACATCCATATGAAGTCAGTTAAAAATTCCACAAGACATAGCAAGAGAGACCTAGACCAGTCTTGGGAAAAGCTATGGTATTATTTTTCAGTTAATTTCCACATCTTTATGCCTTTCCCCCCTGCTCCTGACTAGCCCTCTGAGCCACCAAGTGCTTCTCTGTGGAGACTCAACTGGAGCTGACCAGTCACAGGCCTATACTCAAGTATAGCATTAAAGAATTTTAGAGCAAGAAGGAAATAAAATTCTCAATTCAAACTACAATGCCAATAATTAAAGCCCAAAGATTTCAAATACTTTTCCCAAAGTTAAACAAGCTATAGCTAATTCCAAATCTGTGGTTCATTTTGTGGCCTTTGCAGGATCTAAGACTCATTTTTGGAAAGTCCTCTTTTCTTGTTATGAAGTAGTAAACTAATTTGACCCAAGATAATAATGGGTTTAACTCACATTGCCCTATGTGAACTTCCTGACTAATATGTGTATAATCTTTGCTGTAAGCAGAAAACTAGTTAAAGGAGGTTAAAAATCCAAGTTTATTTCCATTATTGAATGTAGCTATTTTTGTGAAAGCCAAACCTCTTAAAATAACACTTAGATTCCTGTTGATTGGTGTTGACACAAAGGAGACACAGGAAAAATCATGGAGAAAAAAGCTAGTCACTGCCCAGGCATGGTAGCTCACCCCTATCATCCCGCACTTTGGGAGGCTGAGGCGGGTGGGGGGATCCCTTGAGCCCAGGAGTTCAAGACCAGCCTGGGCAACACGGTGAAACCCCATCTCTACATAAAATATAAAAATTAGCCAGGCGAGGTGGTGCACACTTGTAGTCCCAGCTACTCGGGAGGCTGAGGCGGGAGGATTGCTTGAACCCAGGAGGCGGAGGTTGCAATGAGCTGAGATCATGCCACTGCACTCTAGCCTGGCAGCCTGGGTGACAGAGCAAGACCTGTCTCAAAAAAAAAAAAAAAGAAAGAAAGAAAGAAACGAGAGAAAAGTCTTCCAAATAGACTTCTTTCAGGTGGTTAGCCTCCCCAGGTCCAAATCACAGAGCTGGCCTTAAAGGCAAAATGGTTAGAAAATTCTTACTCAGGATTATGTGAGCAAAAAGGCCGGCACAGTTAAGAATTCTGATCTGATAGGTCTGACATGGGCCCCAGGCAGACAGAATTTGAAAAAGCATCTGTTTGATTCTGGTACTAACCTGCCGCGGTTTGCCACTGCTACTATGGGTCTGAGTGAAGGAAGACGAATGCAGAAATGAAAACTTAAGACAAAATAATCTGTTTTTAAGAAGGGGTCCAGGGAAGAAGAAGAGGGCTCCCTGCTTCTAGTGAGCAAGAGCAGCCACCCTGAGCTTCTACAGCCCTTCCTATTTATTGGGTAGAAAGAGCAGGGAGGAGGAGGTAACGATTGGTCAGCTGTTTGATTGATCACAGGTTCACATTATTGCTAACAGGCTTCAAATATGCCTAATCACAAGAAGCACTGCACTTTGGGTGTGACTGCCCTCAGCATTCCTTCTGGGCAGTGGACGCAGTTTGTCAGTTTGCCAACATCCTGCATTTATGAAAACAATTTGCTGTTTACTCGTATAGCTTCCAGTGGTATACTGAATTGATCACGACCCTCACTCTTTCGGCCTGCACCACTAACCCCTGCTGATAATGAAAGGAAATAAAGGAAAATCTCTAGACCCATGGAAAACATTCTGAAATTCAAGAGTAAGAGCTACCTAGAAATGAGGCCAACAAATATTTTCTAGAAAGGGCCAGATAGTAAATATTTAGGTTTTGCATGCCATACATAAAGTTTGTCCAACCCATGGCTTGTGGGCTGCATGTGGCCCAGGACAGCTTTGAATGCAGCCCAACACAAATTCATAAACTTTCTTATGACATTATGGGATTTTTTTTTGGCAACTTTTTTTTTTTAGCTCAGCAGCTATTGTTAGTGTTAGTGTGTTTTATGTATGGTCCAAGATAATTCTTCTTGTTCCAGTGTGACCCAGGGAAGCCAAAAGATTGGACACCCCTGCCATACATCCTCTGTCACAACTCTGTCCTGCACTGTAGCAAGAAAGCAACTACTGTAGCCTGAATTGTGCAAAAGTAGCCACAGGTACTATGTAAATGAATGGATGTGGCTGTATTACAATAAAACTTAGTACAAAAACAGGCAACTTTAGTTTGCCCACCCTGACCGAGCATAATCAGAAGAATGGCTCCCTCTAAAATAAATTCACTAGAAAAGCATGTTTAGAGAAAAGTTTAGAAAATTTTCTGATTCTTTTTCTCCATAAGATCCAAGAATAAATTGCATTTATGAGAACAAAATAAACATTTATAAAAATGAAACAATTTGAGAACAGAAAAGATTGTATTTAAAACATGATTCCCAAAATTAAAAGCATGTGTACAACAAAGTTGGAAGCAGAATTAGTAGATCAGGAGGCAAACTCAGAAATTTAACCAAATTAAAGAAAGGATAAAGGAAAAAAAATATCAGAATAAGGAATAGATGTGTGGGAGAAAAAGTCATTGAATAAGAATTCCTAAAAGGGAAAATAACATACGGAAAAGAAGGAATAACCAATTATAAGAAAAAAAGTCTTTCTATGCTGATAATTTAGCATGAGTGGGGAGTAAGGAACACATCAGATAAAACAAGACAGGCCATGTGGGCTGGGCGCGGTGGCTCACACCTGTAATCCCAAAACTTTGGGAGGCCGAGGTGGGCAGATAACTTGAGGTCAGGAGTTTGAGACCAGTCTGGCCAACATGGTGAAACCCAGTCTTTACTAAAAATACAAAAATTAGCCAGGCGTGGTGGCATGTGCCTGTAGTCCCAGCTATTCAGGAGGCTAAGGCAGGAGAATCGCTCGAACCTGGGAGGCAGAGGTTGCAGTGAGCTGAGATTGTGCCACTGCACTCCAGCCTAGGAGACATAGCGAGACTCCGTCTCAAAGAAAAAAAAAAAGGCCATAAATTGATAATTGTTGAAGCCAAGTGATGAATACTATTCTTCCTGCTTTTATAAGATAAGAAATATTTTTCTACCTTCGTAAGTTTATCTAAGAAACAAACTTTTAAATTATTATGGTTTTCCATAATTATGAAATAATATATGTTAATTGTTTAATGCCAAATAAAGCACACAGAACTCTAATTTATAATCCTACTACTCAGACATTATTCCTATTAATATTTTCATTATCTATTCTGCCAGTACTTTTTTCTATTCACATATAGGTCTATAAAATTAAAATCATTCTATACATACTGTCCTGTATCTTGCTTTTTCTTGCAGCATATAATAGATAGAATTCCATTTTAACCTTATTAATTAGGCCCAGTAAAAAATATGTGTTTGACATTCTCCTAAAGGCCATATTTACAAGCTCATTATGATTTTGCAGCTAAACTTCAACTAATATGGTAGAGAAACGTTTAAATGTAATGCAAAACTTAAACATCATAAGCATCCAGGACAATTTAGGGATAAAATATGATGCCTTCAACAGAAGTAAGGTTAAGGGAACCTGTGTTCTTGTGTGCAAGCAACTGAAATCAGCTCTGGCTAACATAAGCAGAAGAGAATTTATTGGAAGGATATTGTGAGCTCACAAAATAAGAAGCATGGAGGAGTAGATCCAGAAAATGGCAGAAGCTAAAGGAGCCTAAGTAGCAAGAGACACAACCTAGACAATAATAGAGGAAGAGTCTGGTTAGGACGCTAGGGGGCGGAGAGGGGTCACACACAGGACTGGACTGTAGACTTGCTGTCTTGAGCATTACAAGTAATTCCTAAATTCTTTCTGCATCTGTGTCAATCCCTGAGTTGGAGTTTCCAGATCCTGGAGCCTAGATAATGTGCCCTTACCCTTGCTGCAACAAGCCAGGGAAAAGAAACATCCCCGCTCTTTGGTTTCAGTAGTGGAAGGCAGACCCTGCATCCCACAAGAGTTAAACACAACAGAGAATTGCCCCTAAATAGGAAGGAAGGTGGATGGGGGAGGAATATATACATTTCTTTGGTTCTCGTCTTAATGTTCATGACAAAAAAATTACTGTGTGATCATGACCTAATCCTTGACTTTTAATCTTCTCCTTTAAATAATGAGAACAATACTTGCTCCTACTAGCTTCATTGATATGTTGTAAAGATAAATGATTTAATATCTGCTTACCATCCTGAATAACTTAGGAAAAGCATGCATCGTAGGTACAAGTTATTTTAATTAGGGAAATTATAATTAGTAAAGATCACAACATCTGCTGTGCTTCAGACATAGGTAATAATAAATGTTACTTACTCAAAGATACTGGACACTGCAGATATTTTGCTCTAACTTCATTATATTATATGTAAGCTGCAGTCTTAAAACTGCATTAATTTTTAGTTAACTTTTAAACTTTTTAATGTAAAATACAGTTCCAAGGCTTGGAATTGGAGAGGGGAAGAAAGATGCATAGATTGTTCAGTTGGTTGGATCTGTTACATTAATTTCACAATCTGTGAAGGAGTGGATTGCCCCTTGAATGGTAATGGAAAATTAGTTTCTTTATTTCTTCATTAAGACTGTGGGAGGAAAATTAATACTGTCTTCAGCTTTTCCAAATTAATAGAATATATCTTTATTAAAATGATAAATGTACATGACTACTTGCTTTTTGGTTGAGAGACTCTCTAACTCATTGGAATAACTGAACTTAAAGCTAAGCTTTAGAAATCATCTTTTTAGGAAACTGAGGTTCAATTAGGCTAAATTATTTACCCAAAGTCACACGATTAATTAAAACAGAGCAAAACTAGTAAATTGGGTTCCTGACTCTTAAACCAGTGCTCTTTCTAATTCAGCACGCCCTTTAAAGAGGGAAAAAGGAAATTACTTTATTATAGTTTTCACCCTTTTAGTTTCTATGCCCTGAGGAGTAGAAACCCCTAATATAGAATAATAAGAGAAAATATGTAACGTTTCTCAATTTTCTTTTTGTAGGATTCAAATGGAAAGAAATAGAGCCACTATCTTAGCAATGGCCAACTTTGGATACAATCCTTAAGTCAAGTCTTTCTTTAACTCCCCCCTTCTCCATTTTATACTTCTACACAACCCCAATTCCCTGTTAACTCATTCCTCTCCCAGCATCCTTACTTCATTAAAACTCTTCTGAGGCCAGGCACAGTGGCTCACACTTATAATCCCAGCACTTTGGGAGGCCGAGGCGGGTGGATCACTTGAAGTCAGGAGTTTGAGACCAGCCTGGCCATCATGGTGAAACCCCATCTCTACTAAGAATGCAAAAATTAGCCGGGCATGGTGGCACAGTGGCATGCCCTTATAATCCCAGCTACATGGGACAGTGACAGAGCAAGACTCTGTCTCAAAACAACAACAACAACAAAAAAAAAAAACCTCTTCTGAGATTTGATTTACTACTTTATGTGATGCACACACACACCTAGATGTACCCACAACCTATTATTTTAGGAAATAAAGCATAACATTGGAGCCTCTTCTTTATCTTTCCCTGATTACATCTTCTCTCCCTTGCTCAGAAGTTAACTAGTCACTCTCCTGAAATTTCTTTTCTATCATTTCTTTGCTTATCCTTATAGTTTTATTGCATGTGAATGTACTCCTAATCAAGACATTGTTTAGTTTTGTGCATGCTTCAAACATAATAAACATACATGTTCCTAACTTTCATTTTCACTCAATATTTCATTTGTTAAGAATTGTTATATACATTGATGCATACTGCCTTAGCATATTTGTTTTCAGTACTGTATTGCATGCCATTAGGTGTGTGTTAGTCTGTTTGCATTGCTGTAAAGGAATACCTTAGACTGGGTAATTTATATAGAAAAGAGGTTTATTTGGTTCATGGTTAGGCAGGCTATCCAAGCAGCATGGCACCAGCATCTGCTTCAGGTGAGGCCTCAGGAAACTTATATTATGTCAGAAGGCAAAGGGGGGAGCCGGCATATCATGAGGCAAGAGCAAGCAGGAGAGACAGGGAGGAGGTGCTAGACTCTTTTAAACAACCAGATCTCACATGAAAACATAAAGTGAGAACGCATTACTATGAGGACAGCACCAAGCCATTCATGAGGGATCCACCCTCATAACCCAAACATCTCCCACTAGGCCTACCTCCAGCATCGCGATCACATTTTAACATGAGATTTGTAGGGGCAACACATGTAAACCATATCAGATGAATCTACCAAAATATATTCTATTTATCCATTCTTCTGTTGATGGTTGATCCTTTTTTTTTTTCTTTTTTGGTATTACAAACAATGCTGCCAGAATATTTTTTGTACCTGTCTTCTACTGAATGGGGGTGTGAGTGCTCCAGTTGCTGAGTGGTAAGTTATGGGCATCTTCAAATTTGAAATAATGACAAATGGTTTTCTGGATATATTTTTAACAATTTTCCTCCACTTAGCAGTGATTTTTAGTTCCCATTGGCCTATGTCCCTGTTAATACTTGGAAGTGTCAGATTTTTTCATTTCTTCTCATCAACAGTAGTTTTATTTTATTAATAAATTAATCTAATGAATGGCTGGGTGCGGTGGCTCACGCCTAGCACTTTGCAAGGCCAAGGTGGGAGGATCGCTTGAGGCCAGGAGTTCGAAATCAGCCTGAGCAAAATGGTGAAACCCCATCTCTACCAAAAATACAAAAATTAGTCAGGCATAGGCCGGGCGCAGTGGCTCACACCTGTAATCCCAACACTTTGGGAGGCCGAGGCGGGTGGATCACCTGAGGTCGGGAGTTCAAGGCTAGCCTGACCAACATGGAGAAACCCTGTCTCTACTAAAAATACAAAAAAAATCAGCCAGATGTGGTGGTGCATGCCTGTGATCCCAGCTACTCGGGAGGCTGAGGCAGGAGAATCACTTGAACCCAGGAGGCGGAGGTTGTGGTGAGCCGAGATCATGCCATTGCACTCCAGCCTGGGCAACAAGAGTGAAACTACATCTCCAAAAAAAAAAAAAAAAAATTAGTCAGGCATGGTGGTGCATGCCTGTAGTCCCAGCTACTCAGGTGGCTGAGGTGGGAGGATTGCCTGAGCCTGCAAGTGGAGTTTGCAGTGAGCTGAGATTGTGCCACTGCACTCCAGCCTGGGCAACAGAGAGACAGCCTGTCTCAAAACAAGAAAAAGAAAAAAAATACCAAACTGTAACTGAAATTTAACAAATCTTTCACTTATGAATGTAGGCAACAAACCACAGTCGAATACCTATGGCTTTGTCACCAAAGAAAATCACATTTAGAAAAAAGGAATAATAAGGAATAATAACATTTAGCATGTTTTTATATATTTATTGGCCATTCTGAATTTTCCTCTGAATATTTTAATTAGGTTGTTTGTCTTTTTTTATTGATTTGCAGTTCTTTATATATTTTGAATATCTTTGTTTGCCAATTTTCTGTTTTGAAATTATTTCTTCCGTTTTGTGAATTGTCTTTTCAATTTTTTCAGTTTGTCCTTTGCTGAAAAAATATCATTTATCAATATTTTTCATTGAGGATGTGTTTCTAGTGTCTTAAAAATTCCTTCTTCTCTTGATGTCATATATTCTCGTATATTTGTTTCTAAATGTTTTAAAGTTTTGCTTTTCACATGAAGTCTCTTTTTTTTTCTGCAGCCTCAACCTCCTGAGCTCAAGCGATCCTCCCCCCTCAGCCTTCTGAGTAACTGGGACAACAGGGGTGCATCACTACATGCAATGAATTTTTTAATTTTTTTACAGAGATGGAGTCCCACTATATTGCCCAAGCTGGTCTTGAACTCCTGGCCTCAAGCAATCCTCCCACCTTGGCCTCCCAAAGTGCTGGAATTACAGGTATGAGTCACTGTGCTTTGGCCTACATGAAGTCTTTAAGCAGCTTAAAATTTATTTTTATATATCATGTGAGGACTGAATTTTTTCCCATATGGATAACAAATTGTCCCAGAATGATTTCTTTAATATTTCTTTAATCCTTATAATTTGCAATGCCAAATCTATTCATGTATAAATTGTAAATTGTCCATGTTTCTGTTACCAGCTTCTATATTCTGTTCCACTGATTATTAGTCTAATATCACACCATCTTAATCACTATAGCTTTGTAAATCATGTGATTATCTGGTAGAGCAACTCTCCCTCGACCATATTCTTCTTCAGGAGTGTCTTAAGTTATTCTTAGCCTTTTACTTTTCCAATCGATTTTAGAATTATTTTGTCAAATTTCCATGAGTAATTCTGTTGAAATTTTCATTGTATTATACTGAATTAGATTATGTTAAGGAGAATTGAATCTTTCCATCCTTGAACATGTTATTTCTCTTCATTTATTTAGGTCTTCTTTGATCTCTTTCAGTGAAGTTTTAATAATTTTCCTCATAAAGTTTCTATGCCTGCCTCCTTAGTTAGATTTATTTTTAGAGTACCTTATTTATTGCCCTGAGATTCAACATTGACAATTAAGTTATGTCAGATGGCTTTAACCAGGAGCCTCAAATTCAGTTATCTATGGAACCAGGTAAAAAAGATAAACATAAAAAGCAACTCAGGTGTAAGACAGTGGAAGATGGTGAACATTGACGGGCCCTACTAATTTCCAACCAATTGTTGCCCGATGTTACCAGAACTTCCTAATATTGCAGGCTAGCTAGAAATTTCTGGATTCTTAAAACACTGTGCAGCCTGGCAGTTTCAATCACCCTCAGATTATTTAAAATAGAGAATGAAAAGTGAAATACTAGGTTTCAACCAGCAAGTGAGGTAGGACTTCAGAGAGCAGAAAAGAAAGAAAGCCCCTAAGATGGCCGTAACAACAAAACAAAATAGACAATAACAAGTGTTGGCAAGGATGTGGAGAAATTAGAATCCATTGCTAATGGGAATGTAAAATCATGCAGCCACTTTGGAAAAACAGCATGGCAGTTCCATAAAAAGTTAAACACAGAGTTACCATATGACCTAGCAAGTCCCCTTGTAGGTATATATCCAAGAGAAATGAAACTATACATCCACATAAAAACTTGTAACAAATGTTCATAATGACATTATTCATAATAGTCAAAAAATGAAAACAGCCCAAATGCCCATCAGTGATGAATGGATAGATAAAAGGTAGTATATCCAGAAAATAAAATACTATTTAGCCATATAAAGGAATGAAGTACCGATGCATGCTACAGTGTGGATGAACCTTGAAAACATCATGCTAAGTGAAAGAAGCCAATCACAAAAGACCACATATTGTATGATTTCATTTACATGAAATGTTCAGAATAGCCAAATCCACACAGACAGAAGGGTGATTAAAGTAGTTAATAGGGACTTCTGGAGAGAGAGAGAATGGTGAATGACTGCTAATGAGTGGGGGTTATATTTTGAATGTGACAAAAATGTTCCGGAATGACACAGTTGTGATAGTTTTACCACCTTATGAAAATACTAAAATCACTGAATTGTACATGTAAAAAGATGAATTTTATAGCATATGATTTATATCTTAAATTTTTAACATTGAAAAGGAGAAGAAAAAAAGAAAGCAAGTACGTGCTGGGTGTTCCTCCAAAGTTAAAATCTGCCAACATAAAGCCTTTGAGATGAAATAAATTCATCCATAACTAAAAGTGGTTGTATTATTTTTGCTTTTTTTTTTTTTTGAGACAGAGTCTTACTTTGTTGCCCAGGCTGGAGTGCAGAGGCACAGTCATAACTCATTGTAACCTCAAACTTCTAGCCTCAAGTGATCCTCCTGCCTCAGCCTCCCAAAGCGCTGGGATTTACAGGCGTGAGCCACTGCGCCCAGCCTATTTTGCTTTTCTAATAGGCGCCCAGCCTATTCATAACCATAATACTTTTGGTAATGTACACTTAGCAAGACCTATTCTTCTGGGTGAGAAAGAAAAAGGTTTGTTACCTCTTTTTGCTTATTAAAACTGTGTGTTATGTTTCCTTTGGTTGGTATCATCTTTCCTTTGCTAGAATTTTGGAAAAGAGATGGTAAGTGTTTGCACCAGATCTCTACATAGGTCCTCACCCAAACCTGCCACCTTAGCTCTTGAATCCCATCTTCTCCCATTTTCTAAGGAACATTTTTTCCAGACTCATCTCCCTGAAACCACATAGACTTACCAACCTTACACACCTGCAGTTTCCTCAGACAATCCTGCCCTTTTAGATCTCTATGCTTTTATACACGCTATCCTTTCTGCATGGAAACTTCTTCTGGAGTGGGGTAAGGAATGGGTATAAAAAGAGGTTGATGACTATTTTGGAGGCAGTGCTAATAGACTTGTTAATCAATTGGATATGGAAGGAAGTGTGAAAGAAGGAAAGAACCAAGGATGCCTACTAAGCTTCTGACTTTAGTAACTTTTCAGATGGTACTGCCATTTTCTGAGTTTGGGAAGACTAGAGGGAAGAAGATGAGGATTAGGTTTAATGCGGTAAGTTCCAGGTATCTTTGAGACATCAAGTATAGATATATTAACCTAAAGTGAGATAATATGTCTGGAACACAGAGGAAAGATTTGTGCTAGAAATATAAATTTGAGAGTTGTCAGCACATTAGTCATATCTGAAACCATGGAAATGATCACAATTACCTAGGGATTCTCATGTTGCCCATGAGAGCTCAACAAGTTTTAGGTAGTAACAAGTTGTACCAAAATGTATTTAACAAATCTCCCCTCTTCTTTTAACATATAACTGTTCCCAGTGTTTTGTGAAACTCATGAGTAATTTTTATATTTTCCACAAATATTTACAACAATTTTTTCTAAAGAGAAACCAGCTTTTTAAAAAAGAGGCCTGTTCAGGATAGACTCTGATGCCCAAAGTCAAGTGGAAAAAAGTAACTGTACAGTGAAAGAGAGAAGAAAAGAAGGATAAGGACTAAGTGCTGTGGGGAGAAGGGTCACAGCAATGAGGATTCCAGCTCAGTGCTGTGGAGAGGGAAGACACGTTTAAGGGACTTCTTCAAGTTGTGTACTAAGCGCTTTTCAATGTTATTAAAGCCTCTTTTACATCTCCCCTATGTAATCTTTAGTACATTCAACATTGCTGACTAAATGGTTTTCTTTCTTTTTTTCTTTTCTTTTTATTTTTT
The DNA here is from genome assembly GCF_000001405.40 of Homo sapiens. Classification (NCBI taxonomy): domain Eukaryota; kingdom Metazoa; phylum Chordata; class Mammalia; order Primates; family Hominidae; genus Homo; species Homo sapiens. The sequence continues at coordinate 32,816,801 of NC_000011.10, forward strand.
GAGATGGAGTTTCACTCTTGTCACCTAGGCTAGAGTTCAATGGCGCGATCTCGGCTCACTGCAACCTCTGCCTCCTGGGTTCAAGTGATTCTCCTACCTTAGCCTCCAGAGTAACTGGAACTACAGGCGCCTGCCACCACGCCTGGCTAATTTTACGTATTTTTAGTAGAGATAGGGTTTCACCATGTTGGCCAGGTTGGTCTCAAACTCCTGACCTCAAGTGATCCGCCTGCCTCTGCCTCCCAAAGTGCTGGGATTACAGGCGTGAGCCACCACGCTCAGCCCTAAATGGTTTTCATATAGTGAGTTCTCTATGGTGAATGTAAGTAATTGCCAAGTCTTGATTCAGGTTAGCTAGTGACGAGAAGAGAAACTGCACAGCCAGTATCTGAGCTACATTTGTTTTTTTAAACGTCAACGCAATGAACATACATTTGATTTTTAAAATGGCAATGCAATGAACGTCTTCAGAGCTACATCTTTGCATACATCCAGGCTTACTTCTGTGGCATAAGTTGCTAAATACTGGGTTAAAAGGACTGAATCATTTTTAAGGCTTTTTACATGTGTTGCCAAATGGCCCTCCAGAAAAGTTAAACCAATGTATCACCAGTAGACTATTTGAGTATTCATTTCCTCATACCTACATTTTAATCTTTATCAAATTAATGGGAAAAAGTGGTTGTCCCCTGTTTTGACCAGGTATCATCCACTAAATTTTTTAACATTGCCTTGAACAGTCTCTGTCTCCACTCATTCACTACATCAATTCATTCTGTATGCCCCTGCCAGATTAATCTTCTTAGAGTAGGGTTCCTATGACACTATTCTCCTGTTTAAAAATTTTCCATGACTCCTCACTACCTACTGACTCACGTACAAACTCTTCAGTCTGTCATTTAAAACACTCTGTCATACAGCCTCACCACATATTGCTAATCTTATTTAAGACTCCACTTTCCCTACCCATACCCTATGATCCAGTCAAAATCATACAGTCATGCTTTCCAAAATATGAACCATAATTTCTCATCTCCATATCATAATAGTCCAGTGATGAAAATTCATATCACGAGTGCTACAAATCTCCCCTCCCCTGCCCATGGCAGATATTGTTAATTAATCATCACAGGCTTTCCCACTGAGCTGAGATACAGTATCTCTACATAGTGCTACTCACTGCCACTACCAATTAACTAGAACTGGCACTTACGGTGAAACTAACTTGCCAATCCTGTAATAGTCCTTTCACCTAGTTGGCCTTTACTCCAGTTCCTCTTCTTGAATTTGTTCTCACCAATTGAGGTTTGCTTCAAATGCTCCCTCCTCTGTTGCACTTTCCGCATGCAATTTTCTAAGTACCTTACATGGGTCTTACAATTCTACTTCATTTGGCTTTGTTTGGTTACTTGTGTGCTGTCCTCTGCCCTTTCGGGCCGTAAGTGTATTAAGGCAGTAAAAGTAGTAAAGAGTTCAGATTCTAGAGCCAGACTATGTTAGCTCAAATCCTGGCTCTGTCCTAACTAGCTGTCAGCCCTTGAGCAAGTTGTTTAACATCTTTGAGCTATAGTGCCCTCATCTGTAAAATGGGCATAATAATCGGGTCTACTGCAGAAAGTTGTGAGCATTCTATAAGAAAATGCAAGTCAAGTGCTTAGCCAAGTACCACACACATATTAAGCCTTAAAAATGTTACATATTTCTCAAAACGTAAACATAGAGTTACCATATGGCCTGGCAGTTCCACTCCTAGGTGTATATGCTCAAGAAAATGGAAAACATAGGTTCACACAAAAACTTGTACATGAGTGTTCATAGCAGCATTATTCATAATAGCTAAAAATTGGAAACAGCCCAAATGTCTATCAGCTAATGAAGGTTGAACAAAACGCCGTATATCCACACAATGGATTATTATTTAGCCATAAAAAGGAGGGAGTACTGATACATGCTATAATGCACGTATGTTCTCTTTGAAAACATTATTCTAAGAGAAACAAGCCAGTCACAAAAGACTACGTATTGTATGATTCCATTTATATGAAATGTCCAGAATAGGCAAATCCATAGAGACAGAAAGTAGGTTGGTGGTTGCCAGGGGCTGGGGGAATGGGAAATGGGGAGTGACTGTTTAGTGAGTACAGGGCTTCTTTTGGGGGCCATGAAAATGTTCCATAATTAGATAGCGGTGTTGGTTGCACAACATTGTAAATAAACCATAAGCCCTTGTGTTGTACCCTTTAAAATGGTTAAAATGGTAAATTTTGTTATGTAAATTTTATCTCAATTAAAAAATGTTTTTTATATTACCATTCATTCTTATGTCCCCCAGAGCACTTAAGGAGGTATCATTAGGACAGTGATTTTTTTTTTTTCAGGAAAAGATATTTAATATGGTCTTAAATGCAAAGAGGAAACATTTGAGTAACCTCTGTTATTCAAATTATCATGATTACGATTTCCATACAGGACAAACCATAGATAAAATGATTATTTTTCTGTAGAAATTCCAAGAATAGACTAGGCCCAAATAAAAACAAGAGTTTCCACAATCTTGGGATTACACTCGGCTGAAATGCAACTCAGCAAAAAACACTAATGGGGAACTTAAAGAACTACAAATAGCCAATGAGTGTGTAAAAATATGCTAATTAAAGCAATAAGAGGTTTTTTTTTTTTTTAAATAGGGTCTCACTCTGTCACCCAGGCTGGAGTGCAGTGGCTGGAACACAGCTCACTGCAGCCTTGACCTCCTAGACTCAAACAATCCTCCCATCTCAGCCTCCCAAGTAGCTGAGACAACAGGTGTGTGCCACTACACCTGACTAATTTTTGTATTTTGTAGAGACAGAGTTTTGTCATGTTGCCAAGGCTGGTCTTGAACATCTGGGCTCAAGTGATCCTCTTGCCTCAGCCTCCCAAAGTGCTGGGATTACAGGCGTGAGCCACTATACATAACCAAGAGGCTATTTTTAAACCATTTTCTTAAAATGTTTATGTCCATTATTTGAAAAGGGACAATACTTGTCATTTATCATTATATGGAGGTGGACATATACATTTATAATGCTTTCTGGAAGTTCATTTGATAACCTGTATAATACATACATATATGTATGGATGGGAGAAGGCCTGGAATGATGTACTCCAAATGGTAAACTAGGAAGTGGAATTAGGCATTTTTCTTCTCTTTCCTTATCTCCTAATTTTTCTATAATAAATATAAATATTGCTTTTGTAATAGAAAATAATAGGAGTATTTCTTAACTTTTCAAAAAGTCATTTGAAAGTAGAGGGGAACTCAGTTCACTTTGTTGAAGTCAACTTGTTATTTTTTAAAAACCGAAGAATGAACTGGAACTTTTTTTTTGAGACAGAAGCTCTCTCTGTCACTCAGACTGGAGTGTAGTGGCGTGTGCAATCACTCACTGCAGCCTCGATCTCCCAGGCTCAAGCAATCCTCCCACCTCAGTCTCCCAAGTGCTGGAACTATAGGCATGTGACACCACGCCCCACTAATTTTTCAGTTTTTTTTGTAGAGATGAGGGTCTCACTATGTTGCCTAGGTTGGTCTCGAACTCCTGGTATCAAGCAATCCTCATGCCTCAGCCTCCCAAAGTGGTGGGATTACAGGTGTGAGCCACCACACTCATCCTTAACTTTTTAATATATGTAGAAAATGATAAGTAGAATATAGAAATAGCTGAAGAGGCATTAAATATGTAATTAGAGAATTACTCATGAGATATCTTTATAAATCAGCAACACAAAAGTGTAATAGTTAAGTTCCTGAAATGGATAAGGCAATAATCTCTTGTTAAGTTTAAGAACAGAGTCTCCACACTTATTGAAGTGCATTACTATTGCCTTCTAAAATGGTTATTCCAGTAGTGAACAGAGAGTGCCCTTTCCACCACACCCTTCCCAGAACTGAATGTGTCATTATTTTTTTCTCTTTGTCAATCTAACTGACAAAACAAAACAAAACAAAAAAACTTATTTAAATTTTTATCATTTTGATTCCTAGTGAAGCTGAACATTTTCTGAGGTTTACTAATTTGCTATTTTTATTTCTTCTTTTGTGAATTGTCTATGTGTTATATCTGTTTTTTAACTGATTTTTTTCTTGCTGATTCGTTTCAGTACTTTAAAGAGTAAAGATCTCTACCCTTTATCTGTCATATATGTTGCAAATATTTTCCCAATTTGTCATTTGCTTTAATAGTGTCTTACCATGTCTGAAAATGTTTAATTTTGATGAGGTCAAATTTATCAATCTTTACATTTATAATTTTTCTTTTGCTTTTGTTATTAGACAGTTCTTCTTCACTCCAGGAGAAGATATTATCCACACATATTTTCTTCTCATTCTTTTATGGGGTCACTTTTTCATTTAATTCTTAAAGTCATCTGGAATTTATTTTGAAGTAAGATGTGAGAGTGGCAACAAACTTCTAAAAACATAGTTTTAAAACATTATGCATTACAACAGACTCTATACAAAGAAAATATTCGCAATATTAAATGTGTCCAAAAAAATCATCAACTTAAGACAACAAAATTTCCTGACATAAGTATTTAAGTGGTTCTTCAGAGGTCATTTTTAAAAGTCTTGGGCTTTGTGCAGACTTACGTTAACAGTTTAAAAAAGTCCTTTTACTTATTTTACTAATAAACTTCTATATTATTTGGATGTCTTACAAAGGCACAAATTGCTTTGCTATTTAAAAATTGCAATTTTCTTTTTAAAAAAGAAAGAAAAAAGTATATCTTTTATTTCCTGAAAAGGTGATGCCACATGTCAGAGTCAGATCTTGAATTTCACCTTTTCATGACTGAAAGAGAACAAAAGAATCTCTTCATAAGTCATAGGGTATGAATCATAAGTGCAATTACTGAATGATTAAGTAAATTCAAATGCTAAGGGGGTAAAGTGGAAATCCTATTGGACAGAAACCAGAAACCCCAGTTGCAATGCTCCTCCTGATTCACTTACTAAATTTCCTTGTGCAAGCTAGTAAAATTTCTGCACCTGTTTGTCAATGCATTAAACAAAGATCTTATTTGACTGTTAGAAATGATGGGCTAGTTAACATATTAAAGTACTAAGAACATTTTGAACTAAAAATCTCCGTGGACAGGATGGGCAACGGCAGTCATCAGCAACTCAGGAAACCCGAAATGTTTCCTTAATTAATACATCTCTTCTTCAGGGCTCAGCTGTTATTTCACTGTGCATAAATTCTCAAAGGCCCATTGAAGGGAGGGGAATACCAGAGGTAAATGGTTTGGGAATAACACATACGTCATTTTACTGCTAATGAGATTGAAATGGGAATGTATTTTAAGAAACTTAACCTTCCTTTCAGTTTCCACAATGTCTGAACAAACTTTCTTTTCTCTTCTACCATAGTTCAGCTTGTTGAGACGTTAAAAAGATGCATACTCCATAAATTGATGTTTACTAACATTCATGCAAATACATACAGAATAACATTGATGTAGGTAACCACATGCTTGCTCACAAGGGTATCCTCAGGTTTATCTGTAGCATGTTGATGACATGGACTAACAGAATCAGCACATTTGGGAAGATCATTTATGACTAAAGACTTCTGAGTCCACAGTTGGTAAGGAGCCTTTTGCCTAATGCTATCTAGGCCCTTGAGCTCTGCAATATAAATGTCCTGGAATAGTTTGACCAAAAATGATGAAAAGGAGGATGTATTTACTAATTCATTCAGTAAGTATTAATTTAGCATCTGCCAGGTCCTAAGGAAAGCAATTATGTTGAACCATATGAAATTGCTGATATTTGGCTGTTTTTTTTATTTACATAAGTGGCAATTTCATATTATTAAACCTAAGAAAATTATAGAAACGTCTTAGGGAAAGAAAACAAGAAAGCATTGAGAATCATAAGAAAAAATTTTTTGAAGTAATGACTTAGAAGAAATAAGAGGGAAGGAAAAGAGAAAGAAACGTAAAATTGTGAAATAGGAAAAAGGGAACCTACAAACAAAAATAGAAGAAAATAAGAAAAGCATATAATGATAAAAATTGGTACCATCTTAAGAATTAATTCATTCAGTATTTATTGTATCTATCTAAACAACCTCATAGTAGGTTCAATACATGCCTCAAAATAAAGAAAAGACATTGTTCTCTTTAAAGATGAAAAACAGGGCCAGGCACAGTGGCTCATGTCTGTAATCCCAGCACTTTGGGAGGCTGAGGTGGGAGGATCACTTGAAGCCAGGATTTTTAGCCCAGCCTGTCCAACATGGTGAAACCTCATCTCTAAAAAAAGAAAAAGGAAAAGGAAAAAGGATGAAAGACAGATCAATATTCCCAATATTTTAAAATTCTAAATCTTAAAATATTGAAGATAGGCTGGGCATGGTGGCTCATGCCTGTAATCCCAGCACTTTGGGAGGCCGAGGCGGGTGGATCACCTGAGGTCAGGAATTTGAGACCAGCCTGACTAACATGGTGAAACCCCGTCTCTACTAAAAATACAAAAATTAGCCAGGCATGGTGGTGGGCATCTGTAATCCCAGCAACGCAGGGGGCTAAGGCAGGAGAATCGCTTGAACCCGGGAGGTGGAGGTTGCAGTGAGCCAAGATTGTGCCATTGCACTCCAGCCTTGGCGACAGAGCGAGACTCTGTCTCAAAAATAAACAAATAAATAAATAAATTCTGAAGATAAAGAGAAAATAAAAAAAATTTGAGGCAGTGGCAGAGCTAAAACAGGGAAATAATAGTAGATATACTACAAGAAAGATATACAAATTCAGTACAAACCCAAGAAAAACAGCAAAATTGGAAAAAAAAAAAGTAGAAGTTCTGATAACAGAAAAATTCTGTAATAATATCACCTGATAACACAGGAATCAAATCGAATTATCACAGTACAGAGGCCAATGAAGATAAGTCTAAAAAAAAAATTTTTTTTTTAAACAGGATGTTGCTCTATTGCCCAAGCTGGAGTGCAGTGGTGCAATCATAACTCAGTGCAGCCCTGATCTCCTGGGCCCAAGTGATCCTCCCACCTCAGCCTCCCTGAAAATGTTTTTTGTTTGTTTGTTTTTGTTTTGTTTTGTTTTGTTTTGAGACAGAGTCTCGTTCTGTTGCCCAGACTAGAGTGCAGTGGCGCAATCTTGGCTCATTGCAACCTCCACCTCCCAGGTTGACATGATTCTCCTGCCTCAGCCTCCAGAGTAGCTGGGATTACAGGCATGCATTACCATGCCCAGTTAATTTTTGTATTTTTAGTGGAGACGGGGTTTCACCATGTTGGCCAGGCTGGTCTCGAATTCCTGACCTCAAGTAATCTGCCTGCTTCAGATTCCTAAAGTGTTAGGATTACAGGTGTGAGCCACCACGCCCAGCCCCTAAAAATGTTTTTGTATCTTTTGTCACATAGAGATTTCCCATCAACTTCCCATTTTATATAATTGTGGGTGAAAAACTTATAAAATATATAATTTGTGTTTACAGATAAATTCTAAAATTTTTATTTGTATATGATTGATTGCCTTTTATATAATATACAAATTATATAAAAGCAAGTAATTCAAGACTATCCAGAATGAGAAAGAATAATTAGAAAATTACTTAAATAGAATTTTAGAACAGGAAGGAATCTTAGAGTTCATGCAGACCAAACTCACAATGTCTCAGAAGAGGTAGAGAGAATTCAGAGAAGTGACTTGTTCAAAGTCATCTAGCTAGGGAGAAGCAGACTTAGGACTAGAACTTATTTATTGTTTCATTCACTTAAAAACCAGGAAGTCCTGCTACATGCCAGCCAGGTGAGGTACTAAGCAGCAAAAATACAAACATGGGTAAATGTTGCTCCTTGGCTCTCAAGGGACTGTCAGGATTGAAGTGTCCAGGCTGGGTAAGGAACATCCATAAACTTTACTAAAGCCATTAGTAAGCATCAGTAAAAGAAACCACGCTTTAAAATCCATATTTTATACTTCAAAACTCAGTTAAGCCTGGTGCCGTGGCTCATGCCTGTAATCCCAGCACTTTGGGAGGTCAAGGCGGGAAGATCCCTTGAACCCAGGAATTCCAGACCAGCCTGAGCAACATGGCAAAACCCCTGTCTCTACAAACAATACAAAAATTAGCCAGGCATGATGGCATGTGCCTGAGGTCCCAGCTACTCTGAAGGCTGAGGCAGAAGGATCGCTGGAGCCCAGGAGGTTGAGGCTGCAGTGAGCTGTGAAACTGCCACTGCACTCCAGCCTGGGCAATAGAGTGAGACCCTGTCTCCAGAAAAGCGAAACAAAACAAAACTCTCAGTTTACACTTCATTCAAGAGTGTCAAGCCAGGGCGGTACATAAAATAACAAAGGAGAATCCTTCACCAAAGGAGGATAAACAGATCCTGGTTGGTATATTTCCTAATAGAACTTCCATGTAATGTGTGTCTTTCAGTACCGACAACATTAACACTTCATTATCATCTTTTTCTGATGCAGACTTTTTTTTTTTTTTTTTTTTTTTTTAGATTGAGTTTTGTTCTTGTTGCCCAGGCTGGAGTGCAATGGCACCATCTCGGCTCATCGCAACCTCCACCTTCTGGGTTCAAGCGATTCTGCTACCTCAGTCTCCCAAGTAGATAGGATTACAGACATGCACCACCACACCTGGCTAATTTTGTATTTTTAGTAGAGATGGGGTTTCTCCATGTTGGTCAGGCTGGTCTCGAACTCCCGACTTCAGGTGATCCACCTGCCTCAGCCTCCCAAAGTGCTGGGATTACAGGCGTGAGCGCTTGGCCTCTGATGCAGAATTAACAAATGATTCTTAAACACCGTCAATTGCATAGCTAGAAATGCCTAATTTGTTTAAACTCCTTTTTCACATGTGTTTGGAAAGTATAGTTTTGCAACTGATGCCAAATAATCTTTGCTTAGAATATCATGATCACTTGAATATGAGTTCACAAAAAAAAGGCCAAAAATTGTGTGGCAATCAGAAAGTAAGACTATGATGAGAAAATAAGGCTGATAAGTGTACAATAGGTGTAAAAATGCCAACATCAGTACACAGAGTGACAGTTCTGTGGCCAGCCATGACACAAGTCCCTGTCATAGGTCCCTGGGGGCAGCTCCGGTGCGCTCTAAGAGCTATAAAGATTAATATATTTTAAACATGACACGTAGGCCTTATTACTACTCACAGTGTGACATGAAATCAGATGACCCCTCACACTGTTCTTTTATTTAACTTTTTTGTTATTAACAATCATTGTTCTTAAATAGTAGAATTAAAGTTCTGTTCAAAAGTGTCCTTAAAGGGCTTTAAGCAAATGTTTAAAATAAAATTCTTAACCCCTTTACTGATTTGTTGAATCTGAAAATACCTGCATGTAGATATATAATCAACCTGGAACAGTAGGAGTCTTTCATTTCTCACTTGCTGACTATACTGAGATAAACTAAAACAGCAAACAATTGATGTTGAAATGTCAAGGCTAAAATGTCACGGCAACAGCAAGTTTAATAAAGTTGCATCTCTTCAAGAGGCTAATGATAGTCATCGATGTGCCTTTAAGGATGTGGAGGTGACTTTACTTACAGAGCTTCATGGCTGCAATCTTAACATCTCCTGTCACAGTCCTTGAGTCCATCCTCATGCCCACACAGTAAAGTGAGTTTTCATTTCATTCTTGAATTCACACAGGTAAGTGGGCGGGTATGTGCTCAAATTCAGAGATGCATTATCACATTAATCCAAGTCCATTAATCTCATTGCTCCAATTTTTTTTCTTATTCCCTCTGAACTAAATAATTCTTTACCTACTGCCCTTTATTGCTTGATAATAACTCAAAAAAAAAAAAACAAAAAAAAAAACCCAGAGTCAAGAACCAAGCTACTACTTGGCCGATGACTATTCATTTACTTCATGCTTCAATATCCCTCTTTGTAAAATGAGAATTATAATATCTAGCCCAACTCCACAGATAGCCAGTATAAGAAAAATACCATCTGTGAGAACACTTAAAATGCTTTGGAAGAAAGGCATAAGAATATTATAACATTATTATTATTATAATTATTGAGATGGAGTTTCACTCTTGTTGCCCAGGCTGGAGGGCAATGGCGCGATCTCGGCTCACTGCAACCTCTGCCTCCTGGGTTCAAGCGATTCTCCCGCCTCAGCCTCCCGAGTAGCTGGACTTACAGGTGCCTGCCACCATGCCTGGCTAATTTTTTTTTGTATTTTTAGTAGAGACGGGGTTTCACTGTGTTGGCCAGGCTGGTCTCAAACTGCTGACCTCATGATCTGCCCGCCTAGGCCTCCCAAAGTGCTGAGGTTACAGGTGTGAGCCACCGTGCCCGACCAAGAATATTATAACTTTAAATAGCAGATGGCACAAAATAAAATTAATACAGCAAGGAAATAATAGAAGAAATCAGCTCTCTTGGGCATTGTTGTTACTGGCTTTTCTCATTTCTCTCTTTGCCATCTAACCTCAAAATATCTTGCAGCTCCGTAGTGACTGAAGTTTGTGTGCATGCTGCCAAATGCTGTAACATTCTCTAGGACTCAATGTTACAGGGAAACACACAGGGATGTAATTCACTACTGAGAAACAGACTTCATTTCTCTGTCTGCCTCCCTCTCTGTCTATAAACTCTGATATTTGATGTCAGCACAAGGCCTCATTTGTTTTGGTCCAAATATCCAGATATGTGGGCAGACTCATTTTACCAAGGAATGTCATCAAAGTTCACAACTGCTGATTCCATAGCATGAGGCATTTGACCATTGGCCTCTCCCCAAAGTAGTGGGAAATGAAGCACTTTTCCTACCTGAAGATAAATTGCTTCCACTCCATGAAAATGTATTCAGCACGAACAATGTAGAAAGCACTCCCCTGGGTACTGTCGAGAATGCAAAAATGAATAAGTCAGTTCTTGCACTTGATAAGAACTTTACAGGCCCACATTCTCAGATATAGGTCTCAGTCAGATTAAGTTCTCCTCCACAACAGAAGCTGTGGTGTCCATCTCCCCACCAGGAGGTCTCAGTGCTGTAGGTTGACTCAATGAATAAACAGGAAAATGGGTGTTCTAGTGAAAATGTTTCCTATTCTTGTGTTCAACCACAATAAACCATGTCTGGCCTCTTCATAGTCTGATCCCAATTGCTTGAATAAGAGGGAAAGAAGAATCCATCATAGAAATAGTTTAGACCACGAGGTAGACAAATGGAAAGTGAAGAGGAAGGGATTGGAAGAAGGGAAAGGAAAAGCACTGCCTAGAAGGAATCAGTGAAAACAAAATTTCTGCAGAAAACTTAGGAATAATTCAGTTGATTATCAATAATAATAATAAAATAGACAATATCCTTTGGGAGGAGAAAAACAGAATTTGGTAAAAATTGAATTAGTCAAAAATTTGAGGCCGGGCACAGTGGCTCATGCCTGTAATCCCAGCACTTTGGGAGGCCGAGGTAGGTGGATCACCTGAGGTCAGGAGTTTGAGAACAACCTGGCCAACATGGTGAAAACCCCTCTCTCCTAAATGTACAAAAAATTAGCCGGGCGTGGTGGTGGATGCCTGTAATCCCAGCTACTCGGAAGGCTGAGGCAGGAGAATCGCTTGAACCCAGGAGGCGAAGGTTACAGTAAGCCAAGATTGTGCCACTGTACTCCAGCCTGGGTGACAGAGCAAGACTCTGTCTCAAGAAAAAAAAAAAAAAAATGAAGGGGGAAAAAATGTTTCCCTTGGTCCCCAGCAAGTGCCAGACCACTTCGACCAAAGCATAAATAGTGTTTCAAAGAACTGTTAAGCACGTTCTTTGGATAAAGAAGGATGTGACCATCACCTGGCATAGGTACTCTGTCCACCTGCTGCCTTCATTACTTGATGCAGCAGTTTTTGAAGTCTTTAATCAAGACCTTTTTACGCTCTTTTACATTATCAAGGACCCCAAAGAGCTTTCACTTATGTGAATTTTATCTAATGATATTTATTATCTAACATTAAAACTGAGAAATTTTCAAAATATTATTTGAAATCAAGACAACAAAGCTTACTTTTTGTTATGTTTATGCATAGACTCAAGGAAAAGATCAAGATTTCAAGATAATTACTTCAGAAAAATGAGGTTATAGCTATCCTAGTAGATATGAACAAATAGAACTAATCAAAGTACAAAAGCAGTAGCCAAGAGAGTTGGTGGACACCTGTAGTCCCAGCTACTCTGGAGGATGAGACAGGAGGATCTCTTGAGCCCAGGAGTTCCTGGGCAACAAAGTGAGACCCCCTACTCTGAAAAAGAAAAAAGGAAAGAAAAAAAATTAAGTTCACAAGTACTGAGAACAAATTTTATTAATCTCTATAAATCTACATAAATCTCTATAAAATGTACATACTGATAATGTAAACATACTACTATGGAAAATACCAGAAAATACAAGCACGCTCACTCAGGTATTCTATTAGGAGACAGAATGATGACGTTATTACACTTCAAATAGCCCCTGGAAATTTCCACTGTACACTCTTGAGAGAATGAAAGTGAAAATGGCAAATCATTTATTGTTACTATAATGGAAATAGTTTTGCCCTCAGAGACCCCTGGAAAAGATCTTGGAGACATCCCAGACCTGGCGGACCACCATTGGAGAACCAATGTAATCAATTACTTGTAAGGTCATTTCCATTTCTTATCACGAATAAAGGGTATTTTGTCTGATGAATATCTTGTCCTCGTCCCCGGACCACCCTTTTGAGAACAGTTGACCTAAGGTAACCACAGGACTCCTGGCCCAGTGGGACCCAAAGCGAAAAGCCCTGGACGCGCCGAGGGCGCTCTGCTTAAGACTGAGAACCGAAATGCTTCCTGAATTAGGATCATTGAGAACGCCGAGTGCAGACACAAATCGAAAAGCAGCCACCCGCGCCGCCAAGGCGGGGCCAGAACTGGCGGCAGGCGGCTGGCCCGCCCGGGGATGGGGCAGAAGCTGGGGCGGCTGAGAGCGCAGCGCGGGCTCCCGGGAGACGCCGGCCCACTGCCCGCCCGCTCGCCGCAGGTAGGCCCGGCCCCCGGGAGGTGGGGCGCGGCCAGGTGTCCCCAGGTAGCCGCCTCCTCCCGTCCTCCGTCGGCCGCCTCCCCGGACCGAGGCAGGACCTCACCCCGCGCGTGTTCCCCGGGCGCCCCTCTGCGAACCCCAGGCCCTTCCCAGGTTTGCGCGCGGGGGCCATCCAGACCCTGCGGAGAGCGAGGCCCGGAGCGTCGCCGAGGTTTGAGGGCGCCGGAGACCGAGGGCCTGGCGGCCGAAGGAACCGCCCCAAGAAGAGCCTCTGGCCCGGGGGCTGCTGGAACATGTGCGGGGGGACACAGGTACGAGGCCTGGCGGCAGGACCTCGGCGGGGAGGGGGTTACCTGGAAGGGGCCACCTCGGCGGACTGGGTTGGATTCGAACACATAGCGAGGGTTGCCCGCGGCGACAGGTGCCCGATCAGCCCTCGGCAGGGTCACTGGGCACGGCGTTTGTCCCAGGCGCTCTCAGGGGCTGCTTCCTGGGCGCGCGTCGGGTTCCGGCGACCGAAACCGCGCGCCGGGCGCTCTTGCGCCTAGGCTTTGAGTACAACAGGTTGGTGATTCAGTTCGACAGAAACTCAAAGTGCTGAGCTAGGGGCCTTTTTTTTTTAATATTTTTTTTTGTTTGTTTTAGTTTGTTTGACAGTTGCCAGACTATGTTTACGCTTCTGGTTCTACTCAGCCAACTGCCCACAGTTACCCTGGGGTTTCCTCATTGCGCAAGAGGTCCAAAGGCTTCTAAGCATGCGGGAGAAGAAGGTAAGCACTAAAACGTCCCTGGAACCCAGAGCCGCATAGCACAGATCTCAGTGAGAAAGTGCAGTATTTGAAATTACATACCCCCAGCAATCATAGAAACACTAAAATATCCTTTAGTTTAATTTGTGGCATATTTGGCAAGGTTGTGTTTTTTTATGTTCTTTAACTGCAATTTATAGAATTTGATGTCTGTGAGTCTCCTTTAATAAGTATATACGTAAGACCTAGTTTGTGGTTAATTGAATGGAAAACCTATTTCAGCTTCTGAAAATCAGTGAGTGACATTTCTCTAGATGAAGCTGTGTGGCGATTATAATAAGCATAATTACTTGTTCTTCCTGGAGAGGCGAACGGGGAGTCCAGGATCTAGTCTGGACTTGCGAGACCCTGGGCGAGATAACTTAATCCCGTTTGGCTTGAATGTCTTCATCTGTAAAAGTGATGCGGGTGGGGCGTAAAATGATCTCTGAGGTCCTTTTTGACTTCAGATGGTCTAGTTGTCTAGATAAAAGCAGCTAGTTGAGAAAAGATTAGGTTTGGGGCTTGCTAACCTGGAAGTCCACAGTTTTTAGGTTTCAGATCATTAACAGTTTGTTTCCTGCCTATATCTTAAAAGCCTAACCTAGTAAAACCAGAAGAAAAAAAAAGCCTCTGTCTCTCAGCATCCTTCTCCCTGACTATTCATGGTGCTTCCCCACTCAGTGTCAGTACTCTGGATCCACGTCCCCACACATTCCTGTCTCTTATCCCTTCTCATCAGATCCGATTCTCAGCTCATTTTCATTTGGGAAGGATCTGTTACACTAGTACTCCTAACTGACTTTATTAATGATTAATACAGCTGTGTTTGTGTGTGTTGAGCTAGAACAATCCATTAACCCAAAGGCGTGAAACTCTGATGACAGAATTCTAGCAACTGGATAGGCTAGCTAGAGAGAGAGGGAGAGATTTTGGAAGAGGATCCTTTTTAGTCCCTCTCAAGCTGCACCATATATGTAAGTCCACTTAGAAGGTTGCACTTATAAGGTTCCATAATCAGATGCTCTTCCCTAAAATGATTGTGAGTGCAATCATTCATTCACATGACACGGGTATAAGAGACACTCTCGCCGGCACGGTGGCTCACACCTGTAATCCTAGCACTTTGGGAGGCCGAGGCAGGTGGATCACCTGCGGTCAGGAGTTCGAGACCAGCCTGGCCAACATGGTGAAACCCCGTCTCTACTAAATATACAAAAATTAGCCTGGCTTGGTGGCACGTGCCTATAATCCCAGCTACCCGGGAGGCAGAGGCTGCAGTGAGCTGAGATCGTGCCACTGCACTCCAGCCTGGGCGACAGAGTGAGACTCCATCTCAAAAAATAAAAATAAAAGCAAATAAATAAATAAATAAATAAAAGACAGTCTCAAGGACACCACAAGCTATGGAAGGAATTTAGAGATCATACTTGAGTGTGGAGGGCTGGAGATGTCTGTGGAAATGTGAATGAGGGATCCGACACATTTGAAAAGACAACTTGTTCAGTCAGTCACCACTTGATGAACACATGCTAAGTGCCAGGCCCCGTGCTGTGTGGTGGAGACATAGAAATGAAAGACTGCAATCTCTGCCCTGGAGGACATCTTCATCTGTGTGGGAGGCAGGGTGTTTGTTAAACAGACGATCTCCATCAACTGTATAACAGAAGCCAGAACACAGAACTGAGAGCAGAGGAAAGAGTGAGTAGCAGTAACTCTGCCTCAAGAGAGTTGTATGGCAGAGAAGCCAATGCCTTCCATCTGCAAATGGGCTATAATAAATGGAGATATGAAAAGTAACTGGAAATAAAGGACCTTTGGTGAAATTCTTTTTTTTTTTTTTTTTTTCAGACAGAGTCTCGCTCTGTCTCCCAGGCTGGAGTGCAGTGGCGTGATCACGGCTCACTGCAACCTCCACCTCCTGGGTTCAAGCAATTCTCCTGCTTCAGCCTCCCGAGTAGCTGGGATTACAGGTGCGCACCACTGTCCCAGCTAATTTATTTTGTATTTTTAGTAGAGACGGGGTTTCACCATGTTAGCCAGGCTGGTCTTGAACTCCTGACCTCAGGTGATCCTCCCACCTCGGCCTCCCGAAGGGCTGGGATTACAGGCGTGAGCTACCGCGCCTGGCCCTAAAATCTGATAAAGCATGACGGTAGAGTTGAAATGACTGAAAAGGAGCTATTTAGAAAACATGAGGAGATAGAAGTGAGGAGAAGAACGGAATATCTGGGTTGGTGAATTTATAGCAGTGAAATGCATGGACAGCCTCTTAGGATAGTCTAAGACAGGAAAAATAGAGAAGGGTAGAGAATCTAAGGAAGCAGAGCCAAGGCCATTGCATCCTCCAGCCATGGTCAAGGGGAAAATAGGAGCTCTTGCTAAAAGCCAAGGGTGTTTCAAGGGCAGGGAAGTTTGCTTCCTTTCAATTAAAAGCAAGTTCAGGGTTACTTAGAATCCAGTAACAAAAGACAATATTTCTCCTGAGATCCTAAGGGATGCAGGGAAAAATTTGATCTGGCACCAAAAGTCAGTCAGTGACAGAATCAGAACTTGCACACTCAGGGAAGTGGCAAGCAGCAGCCCCTGGAAGGCGGATTTAATACAGTGTTAATCATAATAGCATGATTAATCATAAATATCATATTTATGATATTGGCATAAATATTATTTCAGGAAAAATAAAAATGTTTGTGGCTCTCCCTTTTTCTGTTTCCTCTATCAAAGTAGCTTTTGAGTTCCATGGGGTTGTATTTTTAATAACTCAACCTACTGGAACAGAAGACTGTCATGAGAAATTTGGCACTGCTCTTTTTAGCCAATAAAATGTAAGGATCTGGACATATTTGAGAAGTATACAGAGGCAGATATCTAATTCTCCATTCTGAACTTAGATTTCATGCAGTAAGTATAGCTAAGTGAGGCAGGCTATGGGTTGCTTAATCAATAGTTTTATACTTTAAACCTATGCCGAGCTGAGAAACACCAGACTATACCTATGAATTGCTTCAACTGGTAGACTTTAGGTCCAAGAGTTTCCTCCCACTATAGCAAAGTTGAGTTTGTTCATTCAGTCAGTAATTTTTTGAGCACCTCTTATGGGCCAAGAACCAACATCCCTGCTTTAATGGAGCTTTTCTTCTAGTGAGGAGAACAGAGTGGTAACAAATAAGTAAAGCATATAGAAAACCAGATGGTGATGAGTACTATGGAGAAAGGCAGAGTGTGGACAGGGAGTGCCAGGGGTGGGTAGGGATGGGGTTTCAAGGTAGCATTGAACAAAATCCTGAAGGATGTGAGAGAGCAAACTGAAAGAAGAAAGTTCTGTTCAGAAGAAACAGTAAGTACAAAGGCCAGAGAGAACCAGGTGTGTTGGAAGCCAGCATAGCTACAACAGAATACGTGAGGGATAGTGGTGGGAGATGAGGTTAGAGAGGTAAGGGCTTGGGGACCAGACAGAGAAGGGCCTTGTAAGCCACTGTAATGACTTTGGCTCTTACTCTGCAGGGGGTGGAATTGCTGTTAGAAGGTTTTTAAAAAGCAAAGTAGGAACAGTCTATCTTGTCTTTTAAAGGGCCCTCTTTGGCTGTTATGTTAAAAACAGATGGTAGAGCAGCAAGGAGACCCATGGAAGACCATTGTAGGAATCCCAGTGAGGGGTGATGGAGGCTTGGAAAATTTTTCATTCTATGTCCATTTGGTGGTAATATAAAATCTACAAGAAGACAAAGGAGGAAACAGAATAGAAATATTTCATCACACTAGCCCCTCTATCTACCTTTTAGAATACTTTTTAAAACAACTATCACCAATTATCCCATTGTAGCTTCCTGCTTGGTTCAAATAGCCCCTATCTATTATTTATAATATAGAAATGGACACTGTAGAATATTGCTGCTCCCCCAAAATATAATGTGAACTACATACATAATTTAAATTTTTCTAATAGCCACATTTTAAAACTAAAAAGTAATAGGTGAAATTAATTTTAAGAATGTATTTAATTTAATCTTGTGTCTGAAATATCACCATTTTAAAATATAAGCAATATAAAACATTATGGAGACATTTCACATTCTTTTTTTTTTTAACACCAAGTCTTTGAAATCCTTGTGTGTATTTTACACTTACAGCACATTTCAATTCAGACAAGTCACATTTCTTGTTTATTTATTTATTTAGAGATAGGATCTTGCTCTGTCACCCAAGCTGGAGGGCAGTGACATGATCTCAGCTCACTGCAACCTCTGCCTCCTGGCCTCAAGTGATCCTCCCACCTCAGCCTCTCGAGTAGCTGGAACTACAGGCGTGCACCACCACACCGGGCTAATTTTTGTATTTTTTGTAGAGACGGGGTTTCATCTTGTTGCCCAGGCTGGTCTCCAACTCCTAGGCTCAAGCGATCCACCTGCCTCAGCCTGCTGGGATTACAGGCATGAGCCACTACTCCCAGCCACAAGCTACATTTCAAGTGCTCAATAGCCATCTGTGGCTAATGGCTACCATATTAGACAAAATAGTTTTAGAACATTCAGACCTGTTTGGAAAGATAATTCATTTGTGGAAAAAATATCTTGGACAAAATGTGACTGTTCTCAAAGGGCCAAAAATAAATGTACAACTTGAGGTCACTCAAAAATCAGTATGAGTTTTCCAGACCATGATCTCTCATGAACAGTCTTTCAATTGCCTACTTTAATACATTCTTTCTTTAGAAATGGTGAGCAGTGAAAAGTATCCGCACTTTTAAATTCTTTTAAGCATTGTGATGTAGTTCTCAGTTTCTGAATTCCAGTCTCAGTAATATGATCTGAAGCAAAATCTCTTAAGCTTTGTTTGTGTGACACCAGAACAAGTTTAAAGTTTGTGGGTTTTGAAAATACTACCATGGTTGGATGCTTTGGTTTTGTGTCAGCCTGTTCTTAACCTGTAGTGTTTACCATTTACCTTCCCGTCAAATGTAAAGGGAACCTTATAAAACATTATAGACACGTATTTGGGGTGTACCGTAGAGGGAGCTGCTACTTTGGAAAGGACTAAATGTCTTTAGTTAAATCTTATAATTAGCTTATAGTTTTATTAATTTAGAAGTTTAGAATTTTATAAGTTTTAGCATAAACTTGAATACAGCAATTTTAATATAAAAGTATTAATTTGTAATTTAAGAACTTGGCCAGGCACGGTGGCTTACACCTGTAATCCCAGCACTTTGGGAGGCTCAGGTGGGTGGATCATGAGGTCAGGAGTTCAAGACCAGCCTGGCCAAAATAGTGAAACCTCATATCTACTAAAAATACAAAAATTAGCTGGGCGTGGTGGCACGTGCCTGTAGTCCCAGCTACTTGGGAGGCTGAGGCAAGAGAATCACTTGAACCCAGGAGGCGGAGATTGCAGTGAGCTGAGACTGTGCCATTGCACTCCAGGCCCGGTGACAGAGTGAGGCCCCCTCTCAAAAATAATAATAATAATAATAATTAATAACTTAAAGAGATCTTAGTGATTATTTAATTCCCAATTTTATAAATTAGGAAATGGCAGCCCAAAGAATATAAGTGACTTATCTCAGAATACACACCTGATAACTTAAGCTAAATCAGAACAAAAAGCTGTCTTCTAACTCTCAGTTCAATATGTTGTCCATGATGCCCCACTAATTTTTCTCAGTCAAGATAATAGGGAACCAATTCTTTAGAAACAGACCTGTCAATTGTTGGAAAAATAATTATCTGGAGGGAAAAGAGATATTTAAATAATTTTTACTTATACTATTAATTTTGGACATAATCAACTCCAGTGGAATTATGCTAACTTTGTATTTCACATTTATCAGAAATTATCTTCACTGATGCTTTTTCTTTCTTTTTTTGGGTTAGATTTTAAAACTTTACAAAAAAGTTTGGTATAATTTAGCCACATCAAGAGAACTATTCACTTTTTTCCACAATTAAAACAGGAATTTTTTGACTATATTTGATCAATGTTTAAGTCTTTTTCATTACTTTATTAGTGTTTACATCAAAAGAAGAAGCAAACTTTTTCATACATAGACGCCTTCTGTATAATAGATTTGATCTGGAGCTCTTCACTCCCGGCAACCTAGAAAGAGAGTGCAATGAAGAACTTTGCAATTATGAGGAAGCCAGAGAGATTTTTGTGGATGAAGATAAAACGGTAATGTGGTTGATTATGTTAATTGGCTGGAAATGTTAAATTGTACTTAAGAAAGTGGCACTTTCAGTTATTAGAGATTTTATGCCTTAAACACAATCAGGATTATGTACCTGCTATCTCTTTCTACTTCCTTAAAATGGTAATTAACCTATTTAGACTTGGCTTTACACCTAATTAACTGGTTTCATAGTAGTTAGTAAATTATTGACTGTTGTGATTTTGTGTGTTTAATGTTTATTATATTTAAAAGTAATCATGGGGCAGAGTGAATTTAACTCCAAGATTTTGTGGTTAGTGCTCTAACTCAGGCTTCAATCATTTATGGCGGAGTGAATTTAACTCCAAGATTTTATGGTTAGTGCTCTAACTCAGGCTTCAATCATTTATGACTGAGTAATTTGTCCTATCGGTGACCTTACCTTTTTTGATGACCCATATTTGTATTTCAAGTATTTACTGGAAGTCTGCTATGTGCCAGGTATTCTCCTTGAACCTGAGGATACAAAACATATAGCCCTTGTATTCGGAAGTATATTATTTGGTCTATCAGTGTAATTTGAGGGAAACATTTTTAAAAGTTCTTTCTTAGAATATAACTAAATTCTGTTAATCTTGATAAGGTACAAAACAGATGGCATTGTGCCTGTGATAATCTGGCATAGTCTTGAAAAATGTTAACTAACTGAGATGATGATGATGATGATGATGATGATGATGATGATTATTATTATTATTATTATTATTATTATTATTATTATTATCTGGAGACGGAGTCGCCCAGGCTGGAGTGCAGTGGAGCAATCTCGGCTCACTGCAACCTCCACCTCCCGGGTTCAAGCCATTCTCCTGCCTCAGCCTCCCAAGCAGCTGGGACTACAGGCACATGCCACCACGCCTGGCTAATTTTTTGTATTTTAGTAGAGACAGGGTTTCACCATGTTGCCCAGGCTGGTCTCAAACACCTGAGCTCAGGCAGTCCATCTCCATCGGCCTAACAAAGTGCTAGGATTACAGGCATGAGCCACCATGCCTGGCCCTAAATTCTTTACTTTTGTAGATTTCATAACCCTAGCTCCTTTTTCCCTTTCTTAAGAGTCCTATTTTACTTTTTGTTCAATAAGAACCTCCCCAGGTATCCTTCCCTACAAGTATTTGCTGTTTCTATTAAGGAGGAAAACGAAGCATATACTGTGTAGTTGTGTCTGTTGGAATTTTATTCTGTTTTTCACAAATCTTTTATAATTTTATCATAGTTCCTTAAAATTCATTTCTATTCTCTCAAGTAGCACTGAACTTAAAATTGTCTCAACAATGTCTTCCCAAATCAATAAATACCTTTCAATAAGATCTCCCAGAAGGGCACAGTGGCTCATGCTTGTAATCCCAGCACTTTGCGGGGCAGAGGTGGGAGGATTACTTGAGCCCAGGAGTTCAAGACCAGCCTGGGCTTCACGATGAAACTCCATCTCTGCAAAAAAGAAAAAATTACCTGGGCGTGGTGTCAGGCGCCTGTAGTTCCAGCTACTCGGGAGGCTGAGGTGGGAGGATCGTTTGAGCCTGGAAGGTCAAGGCTGCAGTGAGCCATGATCACACCACTGCACTCCAGCTTGGGCAACAGAGTAATCCTGTCCGGAAAAAAAAAAAAATCTCCTGAGACAAACTGAGGGCTTACCTCCCATAGAAAACTTCAGTCTCCTGTTCAATCATGATAGTGGGTCCACAGCCTCAACTTCTACCTTTGGTACTTTCACCTACTCTCTAATGCAATAATTTCCCCCAATGCTTTAGTGGGGGCTCCAGTCAGGTGAAGGGAAAATAGTAGGCACAGTAGTAAAGAGCTGGGACTGGCAGTAATCCCTTGACAATTAGAGAGATGGCAGAGGCAGCTGTGGGTGGTAGTGATTTAATTAGAGTGAGTCACACCCTCCAGCTTGAATGAACTGGTCTCCTACCTATGGTGCATGCCAAGAGTTTACTACCCCTAGTCTAGGTCATTAGGACCAAATGAAATGTGATAATAAAGATATTGAATAAACTTGGGAATTTTACCTTTTTTTTAGATTGCATTTTGGCAGGAATATTCAGCTAAAGGACCAACCACAAAATCAGGTAAAACAAGAATTGATCAAATTTAATGCTTTTCTCATCCTCTCTCTGTTGTAATACATTTTAGTTTTATTGTTTGAGTTTGGTTGTTGCGCAACATACATACCTTATAAATCCAAGGAGATTTCTCAACTATGCACCGGGCTATCTCAGACAGAAAAGGACAGATTCATCTATTTAATACACTGAAAATCAAGTTTGGTGAGATACTAGGAAAATGAGATAATGGGCTTAAAGCTGTTTTAAACAGCTCAGCTAAGTCAAGACTTGCACAGAATAAAAGCAGATTCTATTCATTTCAAGATGTAAGCTATTTTAACTTTTTTTCTTTTTTACCATTAAAGGCAGATGGAACATTTATGCTAGATAAATTAAGATTGTTGGATCGAATTAAGTAACTTGTAGAGAGGGGAGATCTTTATCTCATCTGTATTGATCATCTCTAGCTGCATTTTAGTCAGGTGTTTTTTTCGCCAGCTATTCTTTCATTCCTCTTAGGTAGGGCCCCCTCCATGGCAGGTTATGTTGCATAGCTACCCTGAGTTGCTTAATAAATATTATCTCAGTGGTTAATACCAAAGTATGTCTAGTTGAGCAGTGAATATGTTTATCCCACTTAATGCTGAATATTATCCATTTAATAAATGGATATTTCAAATATTTTTAAATAAATAATTTTTAAATAAATAAATTTAAATAACAAAATATTTTGAATATTATTAAAATATAAGTATTATATTTTGAATATTATTAAAATATAAGTATTATATTTTGAATATTATTAAAATATAAATATATTTTGAATATTATTAAAATATAGATATATTTTGAATATTATTAAAATATAAATATATTTTGAATACTATTAAAATATAAATAGTATATTTTAAATATTATTAAAATATAAGTAGTATATTTTAAATATTTAAAAAATATATATATTTTAAATAAATAAATATATTTATATTTTAATAAATAAAAGAATAACCATAACTAGGGCTATTAGAAGTGTCATTTAAATTTTTTTCAGGTAGATTCTCTAGCACAAAGACTTGAAAGAAGTCAACATCAATGATTAGATGCTGTATAATGTGTTTAGAACCAGGATTAAATTTGTTGAAATCATAGGTGATGCTATATAGTTGTTATATTTATGTTATTTTAATGATTTATTTTAAGATGGCAACAGAGAGAAAATAGATGTTATGGGCCTTCTGACTGGATTAATTGCTGCTGGAGTATTTTTGGTTATTTTTGGATTACTTGGCTACTATCTTTGTATCACTAAGTGTAATAGGCTACAACATCCATGGTAAGTACTAAGTGAAATTATTTAATTCATCACTAGACATTCTATATTATTATTTTAACAATGGGTCAAGCAAATGGCTGCCTATTTTCTTAAATAAGCCTTTTATTTTGGAAGAATTTTAGATGTATAGGGAAGTTGCAAAGGTTAATACAGAGAGTTCCCACATATCCATCACCCAATTTCCCACATTGTTAATATCTTGTATTACCATAGTAGATTTATCAAAACTAAGAAAATGACATTGGTTCATGACTATTAACTAAACTCCAGACTTTGATTTCAGCAGTTTTCCCACTGGTGTTTTCCTTCTGCTGCAGGATCCAGTCAAGTTACCACATTGCATTTAGCTGTCATGTCTTCCCAGTCTGTGGCAATTGTCTGGTCTCCTAATTTAACATTTACATAAACAACCTAATGATGCTATTTCTAAGGTCCTTCGAAAGAATACAAGAAGTTTCACATAGGTCAGCTTCATTTTTCAGTATTTCCTTCTTAAGCAAGAGGCAGATACCAGTGTCTTCACATTATTTCCAGAGGCAAGAAGTCCTATAGTTTACGCTGAGTCACAGAGTTAACAGATCCACATGGCTACCCAAATAGAAACAGTGTAACTGGCTTTTAAATTCAACTATTTTTATTAACACTTTAAATTGAAGTTAATAAAATAAAATGCTTACCAATTGAGGATAATAGCACATTGATAAAGCTTCAGAAAGATTCATAAAGGCCATAATTGTTTGCATAATAGAAGCTCAGCATCCCTATTGAAATAAAAAGTACTGATTATCTTCCCAGTAAGTATGGCTGAGTAGGCGTAGAAACAATCTTATTAAAAAAAAAAAAAGCAGCAGATGCTAAACAGGCTATTAGAAATTGATACTTATTTATCACTATTCACACTTTCAAATTCTATGAACAAGCTCAAGGTGGCGATCATGTTACTTTCTTTTATGATAACGATCATTTTACTTATCTTTTCAGCAAAATGGGCAGTGTTTTTGTATCCCTCCAAAAGAATAGAAAGTATTCTTTATCATATATATTAGAAGACTCTTTGTCTTCTAAATTAATAATAGCTTTCAATTCATATCAAGTAAACTTTAAATTTTACATAACAATTGACCTATATTGTTCAAAAAATGTCAGTGTCATGAAAGACAAAGACAGGCTAAAGAAATAACTGTTCCAAATTAAAGTAAATGACATGACAATTAATGCAATGTGTGATCCTGGACTGAATCCTAGACCAAAAAAATGAATTGCTAAAAAGGAAAATTTGCCTGGCATGGTGGCTCACACCTATAATCCCAGCACTTTGGGAGGCCAAGGTGAGAGGATCACTTGAGGCCAGGAGTTCAAGACTCAAGACCATCCTGGGCCACATAGTGAGACTCCTATCTCTATAAAAAAAAATTCAAAAATTAGCTGGGCACGGTGGCCTGAGGCTGTAGTCTCATCTGCTTGTGGGGCTGAGGTGGGAGGATCATCTGAGCCTAGGAAGTCAAGGCTGGAGTGAGCCATAATTGCACCACTGCACTCCAGCCTGGACAACAACAACAACAACAAAAAGGAAAATTTAGGAGAAAATTTGGATATAGCTACATGTTAGATAATAGTAATGAACCAATGTTAAGTATTCCAAATTTATGTGAAGATCTTTTCAAAATACTTAATTCTGTAGTGGTTCTAAAATTCTATTGGCAGTCAGTAAAAAACAGAAGATAATTACAACAACATGGCATCAAAAATTATTTTTAATTGGTTAAATATTTAGAGTTTTTGTCCATTTTAAAAGAGGATTGTACAACTATTCAAGTCTAAATACAATATAAAAATAGGCCTATAAGAAACTGGAAGACTTTAATCACAACTGTTTAATTGGTTTAAAGTTTTTCTTCATTGTTTCATATCCAGATATAAAATGAAAATAGAATGACATGTATAGGAAGGGCACCAAACTAGGAATTTGGAGGCAAAAATTCTCATGTTAATTTTGCCACTATTTATGGAGCTTGAAGCAAATTCCTTGATTTTTTTAAGATCTTTCCTCATCTAAAAGAGGAATGAAAGGAATAGACTGTGATTCCTCTTAAAGTTCCTTAATATTTTTTTATTTTGCCAAAGATGAGAACAAATTTTTTGCCCTTGATTATATTGTCAGAATTAGAGTTTTTAAAGTTATTTATTAAAAAGAAGCTTGGCTGGGAGCAGTGGCTCACACCTGTAATCCCAGCATTTTGGAAGGCCAAGCCGGGCAGATCACCTGAGGTCAGGAGTTCAAGACCAGCCTGACCAACAAGGAGAAACCCCGTCTCTACTAAAAATACAAAATTAGCCAGGCGTGGTGGCACATGCCTGTAATCCCAGCTACTCGGGAGGCTGAGGCAGGAGAATCACTTGAACCCAGGAGGCAGAGGTTGTGGTGAGCCGAGATCAAGCCATTGCACTCTAGCCTAGGCAGCGAGAGTGAAACTCTGTCTCAAAACATTAATTAATTAATTAAAAACTAAAAAGAAGCTTTTACATATATACACATGTAAATGAAATTAGTAAATATAAAAGATACATTTTCCTCTAAAATTTAATAAAAATATTTTCTCTTGAAGAAAGTGTATTATTATTATTATTTAGAGATGGAGTCTTGCTCTGTTGCCCAGGCTGGAGTGCAATGGTGTGATCTCGGCTCACTGCAACCTCTGCCTCCTGGGTTCAAGCAATTCCCCTGCCTCAGTCTCCTGAGTAGCTAGGATTACAGGCGTGTGCCACCACACCCAGCTAATTTTTGTAGAGACGGGGTTTCACCATGTTGGCCAGGCTAGTCTCCAACTCCTGGCTTCAAGTGATCCATCTGCTTCGGCCTCCCAAAGTTTTCGGATTACAGGCATGAGCCACCGTGCCCAGCCAGAAGAAAGTTTAAAGTAGGTTGTTTCATTTCATCTGGTGTTAATTGCTTAAAAAATCATTTCCATTGTGATAAGAGCATCTGAAAATGTGCTGATTATGGAGGCTGAGGTCTTTAAAAAGATTTTATCCTGTTTTTTGCCTACAAAAGTAATACATGCATTATTTTAAAATTCAAATATTATAGAAAGGTATAATATAAAAAATGAAAGTCCTCATAATCCTACTTTTCAAAAATAACCACTATTATGAATTTGGTATGTAAAACTCCAGATTTTTTTCTATGCATATACTATTCAGTTGGTGCAAAAGCAATTGCGGTTTTTGCCATTTAAAGTACTGGCAATTGCTTTTGCACCAACCTAATAACATATTTTATGTTTTCAAAAGAAATGTTCGTTACATGTCCTCCTCTGCAACTTGCCTTTGGCACTGAACAATATAATTTAAATATATTTCCAGTGCAGTACATTTTTAAAAAATAGTAAAATATATGTAACATAAAATTTACCATCTTAACCGTTTTTAAGTATACAGTTCAGTAGTATTAAGTTGATTCACTGTTGTGCAACCAATCTCCCGTTTTTCTGTTTTTTTTTTTTTTATTTTGCAACAGTGAAGTTCTGTGCCCAGTGAACAAACTGTTTCCCATTCTCCCCTCTCCCTAGGCTTTAGCAACCACTATTTTACCTTTTGTCTCTGAATTTTACTACAATAACACCTCATGTAAGTGGAATCATACAGTATTAGTCTATTTTTGACTGGCTTATCTAGCGCAGTAATTTTAAATCATTAATAGAGTCTCTTCAAAATGTTTTATTACAGCATTTCATTTATGTTTGATGAAGTTTTTTTAAATTCTAAAATATAGTAAGATGTGATTCCTTTCTAAAATACATTAGTCCTAGCCCAGCTCCTGTTTCTGGAAGAGACCACCAAGGTGTATTCTCCCTATCCTAGAAATAGATATGGTATAGTGGTTCACTGTGTGAGCTCTGGAGCCAGACTGCCTGGATTCAAAACCCTGGTACGCCACTAACTAGCCGTTTGACTTTGGAAATGTTACTTAAACTTATACTCTGCCTCAGTTTCTCTGTGAGTAAATTGAAGGTAATAATCTGAGCCACCACACTACATAGTTCCAGAGAGTTGCCATTCACATGGGCTACTGTATGAATGGTACCCTCTGGTTTGTGTAGTATGGTAGCTCAGATAATAACTGTATGTATGTCATAAGGGACTTACAGGATTTAAATGACGTGATACACAAAAAGTACTTAAGAGAGTGCTTGGTAGCAAGAGTAGCAAGTACTCAATAAATGTTAGCTATTATTATTATTATTATTATTATTATTATTATTATTATTATTATTATTTTGAGACGGAGTCTAGCTCTGTTACCCAGGCTGGAGTACAGTGGCATGATCTCGGCTCACTGCAACCTCTGCCTCCTGGGTTCAAGCGATTCTCCTGCCTCAGCCTCCCAAGTAGCTGAGATTACAGGCATCTGCCACCATGCCCAGCTAATTTTTGTATTTTTAGTAGAGACGAGGTTTCACCATGTTGGCCAGGCTGGACTTGAACTCCTGACCTCAAGTAATCCTCGTGCCTTGGCCTCCCAAAGTGCTGGGATTACAGGCATGAGCCACTGCACCCGGCCCAGCTATTATTATTATGAATTTGCAAACTAAGATTTTTCTAAAAAGCTTTCACTGGAATGTTTATGTATTCCCATCCAATATTTGTATTTCTTTAAAAATATGTCTAGACTGTAAATGAACTGCAGATTCTCCAGTGTTCATATAAAATTAAAACATATTATCAGAAGGTAATATAGATAGTATAATCAGAAAGTATTATATTGCAAATAAGTTTTCTTCAAATTTGGTAGATCTACAAAAATTTTATTTGGCCTATGAAATCTCCCTAGCTTACCTGACCTTTATGATCTTGTAAAAAAAATAAAAATAAAAATAAAAAAAATCTCCCTTAGCTGTATTTATAACCATCTTCCACATCACCTGCTGTTGCTAACCATATACTGTACACCACTTTCACACTACCTTCTCATTTAGTACTCTCAGTATTTGTATAGTGTATTATGGCACATAAAGGAGATTACATGGAGTGATTACCATTTGAGTGAGGCAACTACATAACAAAAAAGCAACTTGGATATAAACTTGTAAGATAGAGAACACTCGGCTGGGTGCGGTGGCTCACGTCTGTAATCCCAGCACTTT
This sequence comes from Homo sapiens, assembly GCF_000001405.40. Classification (NCBI taxonomy): domain Eukaryota; kingdom Metazoa; phylum Chordata; class Mammalia; order Primates; family Hominidae; genus Homo; species Homo sapiens. The sequence goes on from NC_000011.10 coordinate 32,845,384, forward strand.
GGGAGGCCGAGACGGGCGGATCACGAAGTCAGGAGATCGAGACCATCCTGGCTAAAACGGTGAAACCCCGTCTCTCCTAAAAATAAAAATAAAAAAAAATCAGCCGGGCGTGATGGCGGGTGCCTGTAGTCCCAGCTACTTGGGAGGCTGAGGCAGGAGAGTGGCGTGAACCCGGGAGCTTGCAGTGAGCTGAGATTGTGCCACTGCACTCCAGCCTGGGCAACAGAGCAAGACTCCGTTTCAAAAAAAAAAAAAAAGATAACACTGTTCTTATAAATGGCTAGGAATGTCAAGTCAAGCAGGCATACCATCAGTGTGGGATACAACTAGTCACTTTGGCGGACATGGGTTTTAGAGGAATTAACTAGGAAGGGGTGTTTCAAGAAAGTGGACCCACAGGAGCAAAGACAGGTACTACCAAGGCTCATATAGGAGATGATAAGCAAAATAGTCTTGACCAAAGATTTTTTAAAAAAATAATTGTAAGCCAAGGCCAGGCACGGTGGCTCATGCCTGTAGTCCCAGCTTTGGGAAGCCGAGGCAGGAAAATCACTTGAGCCCACGAGTTTGAGATCAGCCTGGGCAACATGATAAAACCCCATCTCTACTAAAAATACAAAAAAAATTAGCCAGGTGTGGTGGTGTGTGCCTTTATACCCAACTACTAGGCGGGCTTAGGTGGGAGGAGCACCTGAGCCCAGGAAGTGGAGGCTACTGTGAGCCGTGATCATGCCATTACACTCCAGCCTGGACAATGGGAGAGAGACCCTGTCTTAATAATAAAAAATAATAATAATAATAATAATTGTAGAGACAGGATCTCACTATGTTGCCCAGGCTGATCTGGAACTCCTGGCCTCAGGCAATCTTCCTGCCTCTGCCTCTCAAAGTGCTAGGATTACAGGCATGAGCCATGGGGCCAAGCCCTTGACCAGAGATTTAAGACCTGTGATGAAGAGTAGTGAGTGACTTGGGAAATGTTGTATAATTGGAATGGCAGCCACGAATTTACATTTGAGTTGCCAGACATGAGGTGGACCACTTAAGCAGAGGATTAAAAGGAAAAATAGCCTTTGGGGAAGGTTTTTGAGAATGTGGTAATATACTAGGTTCTAGGAACACAGCGGTGAGTAAAACAAGCATAGTGTCTGCCCCCATGGCTCTTATAGTCTGGTTTTCTTAAGTAATGTGTACTAGAGCTGGGAGAAACAGGAAGACAGAGGAAAACCAACAAGGATGCTAGCATGGCAATTCAGATGTGAGGTAATGAGTTTGAACCTGTCTTCAAGGAAAAAGAAGTCGTAGAACTTGATGCCTGATTAGAAAGAACTTGGGGCCACACGCGGTGGCTCATGCCTGTAATCCCAGCACTTTAGGAGGCCGAGGCAGGCGGATCACGAGGTCAAGAGATTGAGACCATCCTGGCCAACACGGTGAAACCCCGTGTCTACTAAAAATACAAAAATTAGCTGGACATGGTGGCACACACATATAGTCCCAGCTACTCGGGAGGCTGAGGCAGGAGAATTGCTTGAACCTGGGAGGCAGAGGTTGCAGTGAGCCGAGATCCCGCCACTGCACTCCAGCCTGGCAACAGAACGAGACTCTGTCTCAAAAAAAAAAATAAAGAAAGAACTTGGGAATGTTGGAACAATATGACTTGAACCTAAGCTTCTGTGCTGAAGAAATATATGTATGGAAGCTGGGAGCAAGAAAACAAAATTTGGATTTGACAGGACAAAATGGTTCATATTTTATTTATTTATTTTTTTTGAGACAGAGTTTCGCTCTTGTTGCCCAGGCTGGAGTGCAATGGCAAATTACAGGTGTGAGCCACTGCACCCGGCCAAAATAGTTTATATTTTAAAGATAGCTCAAGAAAGGATAAAACAACAAAGAGACTAATAACCCACGTTTTTTTTAGTGAAGGACTTGAATGGACATTTCTCTAAAAATATATGAATGGCCAACAAGCACTTGAAAGGTGTTCAATGTTGTTAGATATTAAGGAAAGGGAAATTAAATCAAAACCACAGTGAGAGCCAGGTGCAGTGGCATGCACCTGTAATTCCAGCTATTCTAGAATAGCTGGAATAATAATTTTTAAAATAACAAGTATTGGCGAGGATATGGAGAAATTGGAACCTCATATTCACATTGCCAGTAGGAATGTAAAACGGTACAGCCACTGTGGAAAAGTTTGACAGTTCCTCAGAAAGTTAAATGTAGAATTACTGTATGACCCAGCAGTTTCACTTCTAGATTTGTATCCAAAAGCATTGAAAACAGGAACTCAAACAGATACTTGTACACCAATGTCCATAGTAGCATTATTCAAATAACCAAAGGGTTGATGGAAATAGCCCAAGTGTCCATCAAAATGTGGTATATCCATGCAATGAAATATTATTCAGCCATAAAAAATAATGAAGTTCTGATACGTGCTACAATATGGATGAACCCTGAAAACATGATACCAAGTGAAAGAAGCCAGACACAAAAGAACAACTGTTGTATGATTCCACTTATATGTAATGCCTAGGATAGGCAAGATCTAGGATAGGCAAATTCACAGAGACAAAAAGTAGATTAGAGATTACCTTGGGCTGGGAGGATAGGGATGTCTTAGTTTATTTGTGCTGCTATAGCAGAATACTTGAGACTGGGTAATTTATAAGGAACAGAAATTTATCTCTTGTAGTTCTGGAGGCTGGGAAGTCTAAGATCAAGGGACCAGCAGGTTGTATGTCTCATAAGGACCCAGTCTCTGCTTCCAAGATGGTGCCTTGAACACTGCATCCTCTAGAGGGGAGGAACATTATTCCTCACATGGCAGAAGAGCAGAAGAAAGAGAGGGCACTACTCCTGCAACCCCTTCTTATAGCAGCATTAATTCATTTATGAGGGCAGGACCCTCATGACCTAAAAGCCTCCCAAAAGGCCCCACCTCCTAATACTGTTGCATTGAGGATTAAGTTTCAACATGAGTTTTGAGCGGGGCAAAAACATTCAAATCATAGCAAGGGGAATGGGGAGTTATTGTTTCTTATGTACAGAGTTTCTGTTTGGGTGATGAAAGGGTTATGGAAATAGATAATGGAAATAGTTGCACCTTGTGAGTGGAATTAATACCACTGAAATGTATACTTATGAATGATTAAAATGGAAAATTTAATGTTTTATATATTATATGTAATGTTATATATTGTATATAATATGTGTATATGTATACATATATATATATATGTACATACCAGCCACAAAGTCTTTTTACTTGGAAAACAAAAAAAGAAAGGGTAAGAATTTGGCCAGGGGTGGTGGCTCATGCCTGTAATCCCAGAACTTTGGGAGGCCGAGGCAGGCAGATCACCTGAGGTCAGGAGTTCAAGACCTGCCTAGCCAACATGGTGAAATCCCACCTCTACTAAAAATACAAAAATTAGCTGGGCATGATGGCAGGTGCCTGTAATCCCAGCTACTCGGGAGGCTGTGGCAGGAGAATCACTCAAACTAGGGAGGTGGAGGCTGCAGTGAGCCGAGATGGCTCCATTGCACTCCAGCCTGGGCAACATAGTGAGACTCTGTCTTAAAAAAAAAAAAAAGAATTTAAGGCAACAGGTGTGAAATTAAGATTCACCTATTGGAAGATTAAAGGTGAAGTCATGAGGGTAGGTAAGTTCTCTAAGTGTAATAAAGGAGCTGGACACAGTGTCTCACGCCTATAATCCTAGTACTTTGGGAGTCCGAGGCACATGGATGGCTTGAGCCCAGGAGTTCAAGATCAGCCTGGGCAAGATGGTGAAACCCCATCTTTACCAACACAAAAAATAGCCTAGTATGGTGGTGCATGCCTGTAGTCCCAGCTACTTGGAAGGCTGAGGTGCGAGAATTGATTGAGCCGGGGAGATTGAAGTTGCAGTGAGCCAAGATCACGCCACCACACTACAGCCTGGGTGGCAGAGCAAGACCCTTTCTCAAAAAATAAAATAAAATAAAGTTGGCCGGGCATGGTGGCTCATGCCTGTAATCCCAGCACTTTGGGAGGCCGAGACGGGCAGATCACGAGGTCAGGAGTTCGAGACCAGCCTGACCAACATAGTGAAACCCCGTCTCTACTAAAAATACAAAAAATTAGCCAGGCGTGGTGGTGCGCGCCTGTAATCCCAGCTACTCAGGAGGCTGAGGCAGGAGAAACGCTTGAACCCAGGAGGCAGAGGTTGCAGTGAGCCCAGATTGCGCTTCTGTACTCCAGCCTGGGAGACAGAGCGAGACTCCGTCTCAATAAATAAAATAAAAATATAAAAAAATAAAGTAAAGGGACAGAAGGGAAAAGGACAAAGCCCCTGAAGGATGCCCACAATAAGGGTGCAGAAAGAAGAGGAGCTGCCAGCAAAGACAGAAGAGGAACATAAATGGTCATTCTAGCCCCATGCTGGAATTCTTGAAAAGTTCCCCAATGCATTATGTGAATTATGGGCATGAACTAAGGAGTTTGTCCCTATAAAGCCTATAAAAAATTTGAGAAGTTAGAGAAAGTAAGGAAGAATTTGTTTAGCAGACCTCTATTCATTTCCCCTATTTAGCAGACAGGAAATGAGCAAGGTCTTTCTAGGACTTTTCACTAAGATTTTATTCAGTGTGACTTTCTCCACAAGCTGGGAGTAATCCACAAGATAATGAAGAAATAGGCAAAATTTGTCTTTAGACATTCTTCTTTTCTTCTTTTTCACCTCATTCACAATGTTTTTCAAAAAAGTTCACGTATGTCCTCATATGCAATAGTTTCACTCAATGACTGTGAATAGCACAGTCATTATTTAGTGTCCTCGTGCTTACACTTTCTTCTCTCCCCTGCTTTTCTTCATTTTCCAACTTTTCTGCGTCACTATGTTTTTCACCTTTTACCTTTTTTTTCCCCTGAAACATTTCTAGCTTCTTCCCTGCATAAGGGATGGAGCAGAATTCGAGTGCAGGAAGTAAAGTGGCACTGTGATTATGACATGTCTTCCGGGTGTGTTATTATAAAATTTAAAACCCTGGATACCTTTTATTTTAAAAGTACGATTAGTTATACTTAACATTAGCACAGTGTAATGCTTCTTGTTCACAGATCATCTTTATATCCATTGTCTCACTTTGTTCCCCTCAGCAACTCTCTGAGTTTCAGAGGATATTCCAAACTTGGTTTACTAGACATTCTCTTATGTTAGCATTAACTGGTAAATACTTACTAAAGTACTTTTCATCTATTGTCCCAAGAAATTCTTCCAGCAGAGTTATTTGTTTCTATATTTTGCAAATCTGAAAGTAGGGGGAGGGACAAAGAAGCTGAGAAAGAAAAGAATAAAAAATAAGATCATCGTCAGAAAAGTTTGCCTCATTCATCTGTAAAAACAAGCCAAGAGGCTGGCAGCGGTGGCTCACGCCTGTAATCCCAGCACTTTGGGAGGCCGAAACAGGTGGATCACCTGAGGTCAGGAGTTCAAAACCACCCTGGCCAACATGGTGAAAACCAGTCTCTACTAAAAAAAATACAAAAATTAGCCGGGTGTGGTGGCGGGCACCTGTAATCTCATCTATTCAGGAGGCTGAGGCAAGAGAATCACTTGAACCTGGGAGGTGGAGGTTGCAGTGAGCTGAGATTGTGCCATTGCACTCCAATCTCGGCAACAGGAGTGAAATTCAGTCGCAAAAATAATAATAATAATAATAAGCCAAGAAATGAAAAGACCTTTTCATTTCTTAGTTCCTATATTTTGTGGAGGAAAACAGGCATCATAGGATGTTGCCAGTTTGAGATGTTATTAGTGCATACTTTCTGATTTCAGTCATGTAAGATTGTGATGTGTAAGAAAGCACTGTGTAGATATTTAATGACTGATGTAATTATTACATTGTTTCCATACATTAAATTTTGAAAGTCAACATGTAAAAATTTATTTATTCAAATAAAATATCTGTCTCCTCCTTTATCTTGTAAGCAAACAAATAGAACTTTTCATCATGAGCTAATGAATGTGGCAAGTGACTGCCTACCATGAATACATTCCAGATTTCTGACAGAGGAGGAATTGTGTTGAGCTCTCTAAGTAAACTTGTGATCCTCTCAGTCACCTCTCAACTATTGAAGGGCCAATTATCCAGTTCCTAGATTTACACAGACCTTTTGCTTTTCTTCTTTCTCGCAATTTTTCTCTCTCCTTCCCTTCCAATTCAGATCTCATTATTACCTCAAAAGGAAAAATGGTGCTCTAAGAGACATATTGACTGATTTAATTTGGAAAAGTTGGCAGTATTTTGGGCCTGCTAAACTATTTCTTGATGGGAAGAATATTGTAAATATTGACTAGAAGTTAGGGGTTATCTATGCATTTTTTTCCTTCTTCCTTTTTTTGTGGGTACATAGTAGGTATATATATTTATGGGGTACATGAGATGTTTTGATACAGGCATGCAATGTGAAATAAGCACATCATGGAGAATGGCTTATCCATCCCCTATGCATTTTAATTATTTCATTAGCCATAACTATAGGAGGTTAATGTATGTATAGATACTTTATAAATAGCCTAAATAGATTGATTTATTAATGTCTAAATCATAATTTGTACTTCACAAGTGAGAAAGGAAAACCATAGGTTTAAGACCCCAGGCCCATGTTGCATTTCATTGGCTGACAAGGTTTAGTGAAAATGGTGAGACTTGAACTAAGCCATATATTTTTTTTTAAGTGTTAGGCTTAGATTAGAGCTGAGGGGAGAAAAGATGATATTTGGAGAAAGGGAACGATACTAGTGAAAGCACAGAGAAGGGCTGAGAACTTACTGCCCATGCAGGGGAGTGTAAAGAAGCTGCCTTGGTAGAGCAGAGAGCTGTAAAAAATAAGGTGTGGCTGCAGTAAGAGAGGCTTTGAAGAGAAGGCACGGGACTTAGAACTTGACTCAGCTGGAAGTATGCTGCGGGTTTGGCTTCTGAGGAGAAGAATGACGTGAAGAAAGTACTGCTTAGGAAGGATTGGCCAGGCAGCAGGACTGCAGGAGGGAATGGAGGAGAGAGACAGGCATCAGCCTATTGTGATTACCTCTGTGACATCTATTTCCTTGGTCTGGAATTGCGCCACCTTTCAACAAAGCCTGAATTTGGTTTTGGTTTCACATCATACTTTCAAAAAGTTTTAATCCAGGAGTAAGAGAAAAGGGAATTCACTTGTTTTGAGTCCTTTTTCTAGTGCACCAGACACTGCTAGAAGCTTTCCATGCATCTTGCTCAATCCACACAAACCAACTCTGTGGAGACAGCTGATACTAGACCCATTATAGAGAGGAGAAAATTGAGGTCGGTAACTTGCCTTTGGTCACATAGTTAGGAAATGACAGGATCAGATTTCTCTTTTTTTTTTTTTTTTTTTAGATGGAGTCTCTCTCTGTCCCCCGAGGCTGGGGTGCAGTGGCGTGATCTCAGCTCACTGCAACCTCTGCTCCTGGGTTCACGCCATTCTCCTGCCTTAGCCTCCCGAGTAGCTGAGACTACAGGCACCCGCCACCATGCCCGGCTAATTTTTTTTTTTTTTTTTTTTTTGTATTTTTAGTAGAGACAGGGTTTCACCATGTTAGCCAGGATGGTCTTGATCTCCTGACCTCATGATCCGCCCGCCTCAGCCTCCCAAAGTGCTGGGATTACAGGCGTGAGCCACCACGCCCGGCCCAGGATCAGATTTCAAACCCATGTCTGACTCAAAGCTCTTGGTCTTTCCACTGTACCAAGACTTTCAGAGTCTGGGGGTAAAATAAAACTGTTATATTAATACATTGTGTTTAATGTTTATTAAGATAGTTGGTTGGATTTTTAAATATTGTCCTCTCAACCTAAAAATGCTACCTTTCCTAGACCTAAATGTTGTCTCTCTGCTTAGCTCTTCAGCCGTCTATGAAAGGGGGAGGCACACTCCCTCCATCATTTTCAGAAGACCTGAGGAGGCTGCCTTGTCTCCATTGCCGCCTTCTGTGGAGGATGCAGGATTACCTTCTTATGAACAGGCAGTGGCGCTGACCAGAAAACACAGTGTTTCACCACCACCACCATATCCTGGGCACACAAAAGGATTTAGGGTATTTAAAAAATCTATGTCTCTCCCATCTCACTGACTACCTTGTCATTTTGGTATAAGAAATTTGTGTTATTTGATAGGCCGGGCATGGTGGCTCATGCCTGTAATCCCAGCACTTTGGGAGGCCAGGAGTTCGAGACCAGCCTGGCCAACATGGTGAAACCCGGTCTCTACTAAAAATTCAAAAATTACCTAGGCGTCATGGGGCATGCCTGTAGTCCCACCTACTTGGGAGGCTGAAGCAGGAGAATTGCTCGAACCTGGGAGGCAGAGGTTGCAGTAAGCTGAGATCACGCCACTGCATTCCAGCCTGGGCGACAGAGCAAGACTCCATCTCAAAAATAAAATAAAAAAAGAAAGAAAGAAAAGAAGAAGAAAAGAGAAGAAGGAGAAGGAGATGAAGGAGGAGGAGGAGGAGAAGGAGAAGAAGAAGAAGAAGAAGACCACAAAAGACATGACTATCCAACTTTTTATGACAAACTGCAAGGAATAAAGGAAGAATAAGTCCATGTACTGTACCACAGAAGTTCTGTCTGCATCTTGGACCTGAACTTGATCATTATCAGCTTGATAAGAGACTTTTTGACTCTATATCCTTGCAGTTAAGAAGAAAGCACTTTTTTGTAATGTTTGTTTTAATGGTTCAAAAAAAATCTTTCTTATAAAGAGCATAGGTAGAATTAGTGAACTCTTTGGATCCTTTGTACAGATAAAGGTTATAGATTTCTTGTGTTGAATATTAAAAAAGCAAGGATGTCTAACCATTAAGATTATCCAAAGTCAGGCTGGGCGCAGTGGCTCACGCCTGTAATCCCAGCACTTTGGGAGGGATAGGTGGGCGGATCACCTGAGGTCAGGAGTTTGAGACCAGCCTGGCCAACATGGCAAAACCCCGTCTCTACAAAAATACAAAAGAAATTAGCCAGACATGATGGCGGGTGCCTCTAATCCCAGCTACTGGGGAGGCTGAGGTGGGAGAATCGCTTGAACTCGGGAGGTGGAGGTTGTAGTGAGGCGAGATTGTGCCATTGCACTCCAACCTGGGCGACAGAGTGAGACTCCATCTCAAAAAAAAAAAAAAAAAAAAAGATTATCCAAAAAGATATTGGACCTACTCTTTCTTAGGATTTTTTTGGCGGGGGGTTAGAAATACTTCACAGAATTTGACATTTCAGTATAAATCTGTGACCTTAATATAATCACTTGGTTTTATATGTTAAATTATTGCACAGCAGTCATCATATTTTGCAGAGTTTAGTTCTTAACTCTTGCTGTCAGTCATGTTTTATTATAGGTAGTGGGGTCAGTAGTTTTCTTCTTCTAAAAAATACTATTTGCTATGAAGTTAGTTCTTCAGAAGATACAAGTTTGCAATGAAAAGGATTTGCAAGGGTTGTTATGCTATCAAATAAACAGACCTAAAATCTAGGAGACACTAGAACTTAATGAAGTTGCCCCTGTTACTGATTAGTAAATACTCCCATCTTCGTTGCAAAATTATCTCTCTGTATAACTACATATGATTATTTTGAAATTTGTTAAACTTCATAAGTAATAGTTTGAGAATGTGGAAAAAGTAATTTGCTTTTCTGCTCTTAAAATAATATTGATTAATGTTACCAGAAACCTTTTGCATCTCTTAATATGTCTGAACACAAAAGGAAAACACCATAATCATATAAACCCATTCTTTGTCTCTTCTTCTAAATCATATGTATAACCAGTTTTTCCTTAAGAATGTAGCAGCATATAAGCTATAAATTTCTGGAGTATATGCACACAAATTTATCTGGGTGGGTATGTAGGTATATGTGAGTTTGTTTCCTCTTCCAGGAGCTCAAGAAATAACATACTCCTGAAAAATAGAATAGAAATTTCTGTGCTTTATGTTTTTGCCAGGCTATTACATTTTCTTATCATTTAGGATCACTTATAAAATGATCATTGTTTATTTTGTTTTATAATTTTTACAGGAGTGAGACTGCAAACCCACATGTTTGATAGTTCCTACCAAATTAAAAGTTTAGAAAGCATAAATCATATTACAGTGCATATGTGAGTGTATGTCTCTCTTTTAAGATGCATCATCTTAAGGCAGATAAAAGTAAGTCCTTAATCATTACAGACTGCCAAAGACTTTATCCTTTTAGATTCTCAGTCTCTTTGTTGCTTGTTGCAAATAAATCATCTAGCAACATTTACATTTAATTAGGAAATCTAACTTGCTTTTAAAAGTTACCCACGTTGCATATAAAAATCTTGCTATTCCTTGTGTCTTGGCTTTACATAAGCACTTTTGCTCATGTGACTTTGCACTTTGCACTTATTTTAATCCTCTTTAAAGGGCTACAGGCAAATTCTACTTTGCCATAATCACACTAAGGCATGGAAGAACAACTTGCCCAGAATCTAGCAGGTTGGTGACAACTGGGTTTAGAATGAGTGAGCACACTTTTCTAGTCCCATGTCATGCCTATAAAATTACACTGCCTCGAATTATGAAATTCAGGGATCTTGTACATAATTCTAAGTTTGGGACAGAAATTTACAAGCATTTCTCATATATACATACATTTATATATGTACATGTTACATATATTTAGATGTATTCTCATATACATATGAAAATATTTATGATGAATAGAATTATAAGATATGTATGTATCTTGCACTGAATCATAATTTGAAATATTTCATGAATTCATTTACTTCTATTGACTCCCAAAATTCTAACTGCAAGCTAGCTTCAGAACCTGTGAGAACCCCACCCCACCCAAGCAGCTGCCTAGATTTGTCTACTGCTATCATTTTGTGTAAAGCAGTTGCTCTAACTTGAATGAGTCTAGAATTCATCATTAAGATTGTGATATTTATAGAGCATCCAATGTGGAGATCATGATACTTTAAATATAAAAAGGAAAATATGATAGAACTGTTATTGACAAATGCTTATAATGATTGAAGGGAAAGTATCTCAACATTGTATCAGTCACATATATTTCTGTTGCTTTCACCATTTTCTATTCCTGTTGTAAGTTTGGTGGTAGATTTAGTTTTGTTTGGTTTATCTGTTTTGTTTGTGTTTTGTCTCCTGGCAATTGATTAGTGTTAATCATTAAATCTATTTTGACACAAGGTTTTATATATAATTAGATCAGTTTTCCACTTTATTACAATTAAGAAATGAGTAAAATATGGATATAAAAGGAGAATTGGATTGAAAAGACAAATACACATTTACAAGGTCATACCTTTGGTAGGACAGACAATTCCATATAGAATATTCTCTTTTGATAATGAAAAAAATTAAAGAGAGCACAAACTTTGACTATGTCAAAGTATTTTTATTTTTAATTTTTTGAGACAAGGTCTTGCTCTGCTACCCAGGCTGGAGTGCAGTGGTGCAATCACAACTCACTGTAGCCTGAACTTCGGGGCTCAAGCAATCCTCCCACCTCAGCCTCCTAAGTAGCTGGGACCACAGGTGCACCTCGGTACACCTGGCTAATTTTTGTGTTTTTTGTAGAGACAGGGTTTCACCATGTTGCCCATGCTGGTCTCTAACTCCTGAGCTCAAGGAATCCACCCACCTCGGCCTCCCAAAGTGCTGGGATTACAGGCATGAGCCACCACACTGGACTGCTGTGTCAAAGTTTTGCATCTTTTTTTTTTTTTTTTCCAGAAGGAGTCTCACTTTGTCACCCAGGCTGGAGTGCAGTGGAGTGATCATGGCTCACTGCAACCTCCGCCTCCCAGGTTCAAGGATTTCTCCTGCCTCAGCCTCCTGAGTAGCTGCATTACAGGCACCTGCCAGCACGCCTTGCAAATTTTTGTATTTTTAGTGGAGATGGGGTTTTGCCATGTTGGCCAGGCTGGTCTCAAACTCCTGACCTCAGGTGATCCGCCCGCCTCAGCCTCCCAAAGGGCTGGGATTACAGGCGTGAGCCACTGTGCCTGGCCCCAAGTTTTGCATCTTTTAATGCCCTCTGAACAAATACATAGAGAAAACTCTCAGAACAATTAAAACCTGCAGAGCAACAGTGTCCTCCATGTCTTAGGTTTCAAGTTTGCCTCTAAAATTCTAATCCATATTTTTCTACTTCTCAGATAATTTATGTGTGTGTACTCTTCCTAGACGTACAAGAGACTTTTTAATGCTAAATATTTGTCAGTGCTTAACAAAAACTCAATTTCACATTACTCATATTGTTTTTGTTTTAATTGAATGTGAATTAAATTTTTATTAGTTATTTGATTTGGAATGTTATGTATGCCATTAACACTATTAGGGGAATCTCTAGCATTTCTGTATTTTTAAAGAATTTGATTCTTTTGTAGATTCTGCCTGTGTGGTCATTTTAAAACATGTGTGACATATATCAGTACCTTCATTCTTCTATATTTTGTGTCTCCTCCAACCTCCAACTTTTTTTGTTTTTTGAAAAATGTTTCTCTAACACCTCAACAGTTTAAGGTAATTTAGTACACATATATCAGTATTTTTGTGATCTGAAAAAGCAACCCATTTTCTAAATTCATATTTTTCCTAAAACTTTACTATGTTTTTATTTTAAGAGGTTTCCTGTTATATACACTTTTTACACATGCAAATAAACTTTATACCAAGTGAGTATTTATTGCTTGTTTCATTTAAGCATTCTTCCTCATATAATGGCATATAATGAAATATGATATTATATTAATTAAATTTGAACAACACATTGAGTGTTTTCAAAACAATATTTATAGCATGATGTCAATGTATATCTTTCACCCAATGGGGCTAGCATTCTATTTAGACAATTTAGTTGCAGTTGTGAAAGTGGTATTTTCTTTAACAAAATTTAAATATTTAATATAGTGTTTGAGGCAAATATATTACTCCTTAATACTAAAGTTATTTTTTGAGCTATATCTATACATAATTGAAAAAATCAGTAGTAATGTTATGCTAAATTATAAGAGTAATATAGCAAGACTTCCAGCTTAAAAGAAGTAATACGAAGTATCATACACATAAGTGAACATTGATTATTATTCAGTATTATTTAATGTTAAACATTTAGACCACCTTAAATTTTTTTGGATCCAAATGAGTTAGACATGAATGTTAATATTTATACTCCTTAAAATTACTTTTATCAAGAGAATGAGAAGACAAGCTACAGACCAGGAGAAGATATTTGCAAAAGACATGTATGATAAAATGTGTCCAAAAATAAACAAAGACCTCTTACAACTCGACAACAAGAAAACAAACAAGTCAATTTAAAAATGGGCAAAAGACTAAGACACTTCACCAAAGAAGATATGCAGATGGCAAGAAAGCATATGAAATGATGTTTGACATCATAGGTTATTAGGGGATTACAAATGAAAGCAACAGTGAGATGTCACTACACACCTATTAATATGCCCCAAATCTAAAACACTACCACCACAAAACATCCTGCTGGTGAGGATGTGGAACAACAGGAACTCTTGTTCATTGCTGGTGGGAATGCAAAATGGTATAGCCACTTTGGAAGACAGTGGTAGTTTCTTACAAAATTAAACATACTCTTACCATATCATCCAGCAATCATGCTCCTTACTATTTACCCAATAGAGTTGGAAACTCAGGCCCACACAAAAACCTGCACACAGGTGTTTGTAAGCAGTTTTGTTCATAATTGCCAAAACTTGGAAGCAACCAAGATGTTCTTAAGTAGGTGAATGGATAAATAAACTGTGGCACATCCAGACAATGGAATGAGAAAGACTTTCTAATTCTTTTTTAGAGACAGGGTTTCACTCTGTTGCCCAGGCTGGAGTGCAGTGGTGCAATCATAGCTCACTGCAGCTCACTGCAGCCTCAAACTCCTGGGCTTACATTATCTGCTCACCTCAGCCTCTGGAGTTTCTGGGTTTACAGGCTCTAGGAGTATGACTTTTTAAGATTCCACATATAAGTAAGATAATATGATATTTGTCTTTCTAGGCAATGCGAGTTAGCATGTATTGAACACTATACTAGTTTTCTATTGCTTCATAACAAAATACCACAAATTAGCAGCTTCAAACAACACACATCCCACAGTTTCTATCAGTCAGAGTCCAGGCACAGCTTAGCAGAGTCCTCTACTTAAGCTTTGACAGGGTTGGAATCAAGGTGTTGGCCAGGGTTGGAGTCAAGGTGTTTTCATCTGGAGGCTTTACTATAGAAAACTCCACTGTGAAGTCTCTCTTGAATTATTAGCAGAATTCATTCTGATGCATCTGTAAGACTGAAACCCTTTATGGGCAGGAGACAATAAGGCAACCATAGCTCCAGAAGCTGCCTGCTGTTCCTAGAACCTACCTGTAGTTCCTTGCCACATCAGCTTCCTCCTCATGGCCCTCACTCTGTCAAGCCAGCAAAGAGACCTCTAGAGTGTGCCTGCTATAAAATGAGGCCTTATATAATATAACATCTTCACAAGAGTGACATCTCATCACCTTCTATTGGTTAGAAAGAAGTCATGGGTTTTATTAACTCATCAGGAGAAGATTCTACAAAGGAGTAAATACCAGAAGTGAGCAAGCCTTGAGAATCACTTTAGGTTCTGTCCACCAAAGGCCCTATCATGTGCCAGTTTCTAGGCCTTCATGTGCCTTCCATATGATCTTTCCTTTCATATAAGCATATTTAAAAAGTCTTTCAGGCTGGGCATGGTGGCTCATGCCTGTAATCCCAGCACTTTGGGAGGCTGCGGTGGTTGGACCACCTGAGGTCAGGAGTTGGAGACCAACCTGGCCAACATGGTGAAATCCCATCTCTACTAAAAATACAAAAATTAGCCAGGCATGGTGGCATAAGCCTGTGATCCCAGCTACTTGGGAGGCTGAGGCAGGAGAATCACTTGAACCTGGGAGGCAGAGGTTGCAGTGAGCCAAGATTGGGCCACCACACTCCAGCCTGGGTGACAAAGCAAGACCTTGTCTCAAAAAATAAATAAATAAATAAAAAGTCTTTCAATTGTAAAGTCATATAAATATCATATAACAACTAATGCTAATATCTTATTGTTTCTTGAAAACCTTGTAATGTCTCACTATTTACTAATTTTACCTGTTCATTTTTCTACAATTCCTAGCATTAAATAGCCATAAACTGATTAAAGTGCTTATATCAGAGACAATAAATTGAGAGCAGCTTGGGAAACTGGTCCTACTCCTTAGCTGACCAAGGCAGATTCACCCAGATGGAAAGGAGCTGAAGAAGATCAGATCAAACCCACAGTCCTAGCATATCCCTGAATGTCTTCTTTACCCCACATTTGATTTATAACATGGCTGTGTATCGTGTTCTAGGTTAATAATCATTTCCCTTGGCATTTTGTAGATATTCCTCTAATGTCTTCTAGCATTTGATTGCAATCAAGAATTCTAACAATAATTCTGATTTCATGACTTTGCACATGACCCTTTATTTCCCACTGGAACCTTTCAAATCTTTTCATCCCTGGTGATCTCAAATTCATGAGTCTGTCCAGGCATGGTGCCTCATACTTCTAATTCCAACACTTTAGGAGGCTTGAGCCCACGAGTTTGAGACCAGCCTAGGCAACATAGTGAGACCTTGTCTCTACAAAAAATTTTTTTAAAAATTAGCTTGATGGTACAAACTCCATACTACTCTGGAGGCTGAGGTGGGAGAATCACCTGAGCTTGGGAGGTTGAGGCTGCAGTGAATTGTGATTGGGTCACTACACTCCAGCCTGAGCAAGAGAGCAAGACATTGTCTCAAAAAAAAAAAAAAAATAGCTGGGTGCGATGGCTCATGCCTGTAATCCCAGCACTTCGGGAGGCTGAGGCAGGCAGATCTCTTGAGCTCAAAGTTCAAGATCAGCCTGGGCAACATAGTGAAACAACATCTCCACCAAAAATACAAAAAAAAATTAGCCAGGCGTGATGGTGCCTGCCTGTGGTCCCAGCTACTCGGGAGGCTGAGGCAGAAGGGTCAACCGAGCCTGGAAGGTGGAGGTTGCAGTGAGCCGAGGTTGCAGTGAGCCAAGATTGCACCATTACATTCAAGCCTGGGTGACGGAGTGAGACCCTGACTCAAAAAAAAAAAAAAATTATGATTCTGAGGCTTGGGATAAGTTTTCATTTATTGTTCATGGCATCCAATACCTCCTTTTATTCTAGAGATCTGTGCCCTCCAATTCTAGGAAATACTCCTGTGTAATTTTTTGCTAGTTTCCTTACCTTTGTTTTCTCTGCTTTTTCTGCGATTCATATTGGCTGAATATTGTACTTCCTTGATTGATCCACTATTTTCCATTTCCTTCTCTGTTCTACTTTCAGCATAAGTGTAACTGAACCCAGGTTCAACGGCTTGCTGCTAGAAAGCCAGACACAAGAGACAAGGGTTGATGGGAGGAAACCAGGTTCATTCAGAAAACCAGCAAAATTGACAAGATGGTGAACTGTATGCTAAAGCACCATCTTAAATTTTCAGGTTGGCTGGAGAGTTTTTATGGGAGGGGAATAAAGCGAAGAGGAGGGGGTTGGGATCAAGAGGTGACCGAGGACTGCAGATATCTGGGCACCAGCAAGGGTCAGAGGAGGTTGGAAACTTCTTTGCCCTTGGTCAGTTCACAATGCTCCTGTAAATCTTTAACAAAACATAGTTAGTTGTTTAGATACTTACCCTTTAATCCCAGACTTAGTTGTAAAAATTACATGATTACTGTTTTTGCATATTATTTCAGTGCTCTAAAATTAGCTGGAATGGTGGAAGGCCACTTAAACAAAAATTGAGTTAGTTATGTTAGTTCTTTGCTATTTCACTGTTACAATTCCCCACTGTGAAAGGCTCATTCCACAGTCTTGTGGAATTAGGGACAATGGGATGTTGTCTCTCATCTGGCTACTCCCTGTTGAACAAGGTTCATGTGGGGCAACTGTGAAACCAAACCATTTGACCTGGTAGCAAGCTGACGTTCAGGTCCTTGTTCCTTTCAGGTTTTTAGGAGGACCTGATCTCCCAGTTGAGAAGGATGGAGGGCCATGTTTGTGGAATAAGTGATCCTGCTAGAAGCAAACTCATGAATAGAATTTAGTATAGTGCCTAGAGTCTTAACATATTTGGCAATTGCTAAATTATTTATTTCGAGTTTGGTTCATTTTTTTTTTAGTTTTTCCCATTGATCATGGTCTCCAAGATGACAATCTAAAGGTTGAAGGAAGGAGCAAGTCATAGATTTCCCTGACATTTTCATAACCATCATAGTCTTCTGTGAATCAGGGCATAGATAGGTACTAGCTATAGAATATGTGGCCCTCATATCCGTAAGTAAATAAACCTGTTCCTCACTCTCAATTGTAACCAGGGCCCCTGTGGGGATATTGACAGGTTGGCTAAATATACATATTTAGCAGGTTACAGAAGGAACTATAAATATTTATGAAGGTGGTCCTGACACATGCATATTGAACAAACATATATGTAACATATGACCCATGTTTTCCTTGGAGTGGAGACTTAACTCTTGCCTGGCATGGCCTTAGGTCCTATTTATACTTTGGTATCTTATTGCCACAAAGAGTTTATGTTTTAATGTTAACTCTGGTCAGTTGCTGTGTCTAAACCATAAAAGGAAAAGGGTATAATGAAGTGTGTCTGACCTCCTGTCCTCTCATGGCTGGGAACTATGTTTTTTTTTTTAAGTTTTTTTTCTTGGGGGTTCACTTGGTCAAGGGGGATCCATTCGATTGGTGGGGTGCTTAGGACTTCATTTTTTAGTTTAAATTTCTGTTTTTTGATCAAGATATGCCAGAGGCAGCATCAATGGCTAAACTTTTATTTTGTCCCATATTGTTGCCAGGATGGTGTGGCTACCTGACCCAGGTCCATCATGTCCCTTGGTGGGATCCCTATGGCCAAGGGACTTAGAGTAAAAAAACTTATAGCTAATTAATCATTCTAAGCCAGATGGGAATGGAAGTGAGTAGACACTTAACCCTTAAAACCCTTTTAAGTAACAAAAGAGCCAAAAACCAAAAACCAAAAGGCAAGGTTACAAAATTGACTTATGTAAAAGCTTTACATGTTGAAAGAATTAGCAATGTTTATTTGATTTTGAGGACATTTGTCAAAGATGTAAAAAGCCTCAAAATATTTGATAAAAACAGAATAGTTATTCATTTAATCAAGAGTGACAGTCAAAATACTTCAAGAGCAATACAGAAAGTGACATGAAGATACAAATTTTAACCATTTTATTTATTTTTATTTTTTTGAGATAGGGTCTCACTCTTGCCCAGGCTGGTATACAGTGGCACGATCTCGGCTCACTGCAACTTCTGCCCCCCAGCCTCAAGCAATCCTCCCACCTCAGGCTCCCCTGAGTAGCTGGGACCACAGGCGTACACCACCACACCCAGCTATTTTTTTAATATTTTTTTGTAGAGACAGGGTTTCACCATGTTGCCCAGGCTAGTCTCAAACTCCTGAGCTCAAGTGATCTGCCTGCCTTGGCCTCCCAAAGTGTTGGAATTCCAGGCATGAACCACTGTGATTGGCCTTAACTCTTTTAAAGCTCAAGTTTCCTAAGGAAGCAAAAAATTAATACAGACAATATAGGAATTATCTTTTTTATTTTATTTTTATTTTTTTGAGGCAGAGTCTTGCTCTGTCGCTCAGGCTGGAGTGCAGTGGCACTATCCCGGCTCACTGCAACCTCCACCTCCCAGGTTCAAAGGATTCTCCTGCCTCAGCCTCCCGAGTAGCTACAAGTACGCGCTACCACACCTGGCTAATTTTTATATTATTAGTAGAGACGGGGTTTTGCCATGTTGTCCAGGCTGGTCTCGAACTCCTGACCTCAAGTGATCTGCCCACACTGACCTCCCAAAGTGCTGGGATTACAGGCATGAGCCACCATGCCAGGCCAGGAATTATCTTAATAAAATGCAAAATCTTGTTTCTTAAGCCATTTGCCAGAAAGGCAAAGAGAAAACATTTGCAGTGTGATTGCTTCTCCTTATGAGAAGCCCATTTAGATAACCTAGAAATCAAACCTGAAGAATAGAGTACCTGAACTTAATCAGACACAGGAAGAGTGTTTTCAAAGTTATGAGTATAGCATAGCAAGGGAATACATGACTCTTAGTAATTGCATGAGAAGTTTCCTAATTACATTTAAAAATTTAGACATATCAAGAAAAGTCAAGAGTACAGAATCAAGCTATACTGGAGGAAAGCATTGCTTTTTCAGACCTTCAAGATACCACTTTTCAGCATCAGGCCACAACAACAGTTAGAACCAGAGGAAAAAAGTTACAGAAGCTGATAAAAAAGCAGAAGGAGAGATTTCTCATTTCAGGCCTTCTCAAGAGGAGAATAAGCTGAAAGCAGTGAGACACAACAAAAGCTGAACTTCTAAGATATGAATCTGAAAAGTTTTCAAAAGAAACAGTTTCAGAATTAAAAATCAAAATGTCTTATAATTTCACTAAGATTGGCCGGGCATGGTGGCTCATGCCTGTAATCACAACACTTTGGGAGGCCGAGGCAGGTGCATCACCTGAGGTCAGGAGTTCGAGACCAGCCTGGCCAACATAGTGAAACCCTGTCTCTTCTAAAAATACAAAAAATTAGCTGGGCTTGGTGGCAGGTGCCTGTAATTCCAGCTACTCAAGAGGCTGATGCAGGAGAATCACTTGAACCTGGGAGGCAGAGGTTGCAGTGAGCCAAGATGGCGCCATTGCACTCCAGCCTGGGCAACAAGAGCAAAACTCCGTCTCAAAAAAAAAAAAAAATCACTAAGATCAAATTAATACCTTAAGAAAATCTTATTTTAATATAGGGGACCAATATTAGAAGGACTATTATGAATAATTCTTTTTAAATTGTAGTCAACTTAGTCACATACAAAATTCCTTTTGTAAATCCCCCTTCACAAACCTTATCACAGCTTATACACAACACCCATGACTTGCTTGGACACTCTGATTTGTCCTACATTTTTTTCTTTTTTAAATAACCATATTACTTTAAGACAAATATTTACCATACAGGATCCTTTTTTATATACGATTATTTTTTTCTTTATAAACTTTTCTACCAAAAAAAAATTTTTTTTTTTTTGAGACGGAGTCTTGCTCTGTTGCCCAGCCTGGAGTGCAGTGGCGTGATGTCGGCTCACTGCAAGCTCCGCCTCCCGGGTTCACGCCATTCTCCTGCCTCAGCCTCCCGGGTAGCTGGGACTACAGGCGCCCGCCACCACGCCCAGCTAATTTTTTTGTATTTTTAGTGGAGACAGGGTTTCACCATCTTGGCCAGGCTGGTCTTACCGCTGGTAAGACGTAAGGCGGCTCACACCTGTAATCCCAGCACTTCGGGAGGCTGAGGTGGGTGGATCACCTGAGGTCAGGAGTTCGAGACCAGCCTGGCCAAAATGGTGAAACCCCATCTCTACTAAAAATATAAAAACTAGCTGGGTGTGGTGGTGGGCACCTGTAATCCCAGCTAATTGGGAAGCTGAGGCAGGAGAATTGCTTGAACCCAGGAGACGGAGGTTGCAGTGAGCTGACACGGTCCTACTGCATTCCAGCCTGGGCAACAGAGTGAGACTCTGTCTCAAATTAAAAAAAAAAGAAATGATGAAAAGGATGTTACCATTGACCCCACAGAAATAAAAATAATCATCAGAAACTACCATGAACACTTATATGCACACAAACTAGAAAACCTAGAAAAGATGGATAAATTCCTGGACATATACACCCTCCCAAGACTGAACCAGGAAGAAATTGACCCCCCGAACAGACCAATAGCAAGCTCCTACATTGAATCAGGAATAAACAGCCTACCAACCAAAAAAAGCCCAGGATGAGAAGAATTTGCAGCCAAATTCTACCAGATGTATAAAGAAAAGCTGGTACCACTCCTACTAAAACTATTCCAAAAAATTGAAAAGGAGGGACTCCTCCCCAATTCATTCTATGTGGCCAGCATGATCCTGATACCAAAACCTGGCAGAGAAACACATAAATAAGAAAATTTCAGGCCAATATCCTTGATGAACATTGATTCAAAAATCCTCAACAAAATACTTGCAAGCCAAATCCAGCAGCACATCAAAAAGCTAATCCATTATGATCTAGTAGGCTTCATCCTCAGGAGGCAAATTTGGTTCAACATACACAAATCAATAAATGTGATTTAGCACATAAACAGAACTAAAGTAAAAAACCACATGATTATCTCAATAGATGTAGAAAAAGCTTTTGATAACATTCAACATCCATTCATGTTAAAAACTCTCAATGAACTACGTATTGAAGGAACATACCTCAAAATAATAAAAGCCATCTATGACAAACCCACAGCTGACATTATACCAAATGGGCAAAAGCTGGAAGTATTCCCCTTGAAAACTGGCACAAGACAAGCATTCCTCTCTCTTACTACTTCTATTCAACATAGTACTGAAAGTCCTAGCCAGCGCAATCAGGCAAGAGAAAGAAATAAAGGGCATCCAAGTAGGAAAAGAGGAAGTTAAACTATCCCTGTTTGTAGATAACATGATTCTATATGCAGAAAGCCCCATAGTCTCGGCCCAAAAGCTCCTTCAGCTGATAAACAAACAACTTCAGCAAAGTTTCAGGATACAAAATCAATGTATAAAAATCACTGGCATTCCTATACACCACCAACAGCCAAGCTGAGAACCAAATTGAGGAAGGCAATCCCATTCACAATTGCCACAAAATGAATAAAATACATAGGAATACAGCTATCCAAGGAGGTGAATGATCTGTACAATGACAATTGCAAAACATGGCTCAAAGAAATCGAAGAAGACACAAACAAATGGAAAACATCCCATGCTCATGGACAGGAAGATTCAATATCACTAAAATGGCCATACTCCCCAAAGCAATTTACAGATTCAATGCTGTTCCTATCAAACTTCCAATGACATTATTCACAGAATTAGAAAAAAACTATTTTAAAATTCATACAGAACAAAAAAAGAGCCCAAATAGCCAAAGCAATCCTAAGCAAAAAGAACAAAGCTGGAGGCATCATGTTACCCAACTTCAACCTATACTACAGGGCTACAGTAACCAAAACAGCATGGTACTGGTACAAAAGCAGACACATAGACCCAGGGAACAGAATAGAGAGTTCAGAAGCAAGGCTGCACGCTTATGACCACAAGGTCTTTGACAAAGCTGACAAAAACAAGAAATGGGAAAAAGATTCTCTATTCAATAAATGGTGCTAGGATAACTGGTTAGCTATATGCTGAAGTTTGAAGCTGGACTCCTTCCTTACACCATATACAAAAATCAACTCAAGATGGATTAAAGACTTAAATGTAAAACCCAAAACTATAAAAACCCTGGAAGGCAACCTAGGTGATACCATCCTGGACATAGGAATGGGAAAAGAGTTCATGACAAAGACACCAAAAGCAATCACAACAAAACCAAAAATTGACAAATGGGATCTAATTAAATTTAAGAGCTTCTGCACAGCAAAAGAAACTATCAACAGAGTAAACAGAGGACCTACAGAATGGGAGAAAATACTTGCAAACTATGCATCTGACAAATGTCTAATATCCAGCATCTATAAGGAACTTAAATTTACAATAGAAAAACAATCAGGCTGGGCGCAGTGGCTCACGCTTGTAATCCCAGCACTTTGGGAGGCCGAGGTGGGTGGATCACAAGGTCAGGAATTCGAGACCAGCCTGGCCAATATGGTGGAACCCTGTCTCTACTAAAAATACAAAAAGTAGCTGGGCATGGTGGCATGCACCTGTAGTCCCTGCTACTCGGGAGGCTGAGGTGGAAGAATAGCTTGAACCTGGAAGGCGGAGGTTGCAGTGAGCCGAGATTGCACCACTGCACTCCAGCCTGGGTGACAGAGCAAGACTTCATCTCAAAAAAAAAAAAAAAAAAAAAGAAAAGAGAAAAGAAAAATAATCCCATTAAAAGTGGGCAAAGGACATGAACAGACACTTTTCAAAAGAAGACATACATGTGGCCAACAAGCATATAAGAAAAAAAATATATCACTGAACATTAGAGAAATGCAAATCAAAACCGCAATGAGATACCATCTCGCACAGTCAGAATGGCTATTATTAAAAAGTCAAAAAATAACAGATGCTGGTGAGGTTGCAAAGAAAAGGGAACACTTATACACTGTTGGTGAAAATGTCAATTAGATCAACCATTGTGGAAAACAGTATGGCGATTCCTCAAAGAACTAAAAACAGAACTATTTAACCCAGCAATCTCATTCCCGGGTATATACACCCAGAGGAATATAAATCATTCTAACACAAAGACACATGCACACGAATGTTCACTGCAGCACTATTCACAAAAGTAAAGACATGGAATCAACCTAAATGCCCATCAATGATAGACTGGATGAAGAAAATGTGGTACATATACACCATGGAATACTATGCAGCCATGAAAAAGAACAAGATCATGTCTTTTGCAGGAACATGGATAGAGCTGGAGGTTATTATCCTTAGCACACTAACGCAGGAAGAGAAAACCAAATCCCACATGTTCTCACTTATAAGTGGAAGCTAAATAACTCATGAACGCAAAGAAGGGAACAACAGACACTAGGGTCTACTTGAGGGTGGAGGGTGGGAAGAAGGAAGAAGCAGAAAAAATAACTATTGTGTACTAG
Organism: Homo sapiens; assembly: GCF_000001405.40. NCBI lineage: Eukaryota > Metazoa > Chordata > Mammalia > Primates > Hominidae > Homo > Homo sapiens. The sequence continues at coordinate 32,869,185 of NC_000011.10, forward strand.
GCTTAATACCTGGGTGATGAAATAATCTGTACAACAAACCCCCATGACACAAGTGTACCTATATAACAAGCCTTCACATGTACCTCTGAACCTAAAAGTAAAACAATAGAGTAAAAAATAAAATAAAGTGAAAATAAAATAAAATAATGTGAGTAGAAATAAAGAACTACTTGTGATAAAATAATCCATCAATGTATGGCTCAAAATTAAAGCTTGTTTTAATATAATTTTAATGTAAGCTATGTCTCAAGATAAACTAACTGAAATTCCTTTTTTTTTTTTTTTTTCAGACGGAGTTTCACTCTTATTGCCCAGGCTGGAGTGTAATGGTGTATTCTCCGCTCACTGCAACCTCCGCCTTCCCGGTTCAAACAATTCTCCTGCCTCAGCCTCTGGAGTAGCTGGGATTACAGGCGCGAGCCACCACACCCGGCTAATTTTTGTATTTTTAGCAGAGACGGTGTTTCACCATGTTGGCCAGGCTGGTCTCAGACTCCTGACCTCAGGTGATCCGCCTGTCTTGGCCTCTCAAAGTGCTGGGATTACAGGTGTGAGCCACTGCGCCCGGCCTGAAATTCTTTTAAAAAATAATAATTAAGGCCAGGCACAGTGGCTCATGCCTGTAATCCCAGCACTTTGGGAGGCTAAGGCAGGCAGATCATGAGGTCAGGAGTTCGAGACCAGCCTGACCAACATGGTGAAACCCCATCTCTACTAAAAATACAAAAATTAGCCAGGCATCGTGGTGCGCACCTGTAATCCCAGCTACTCGGGAGGCTGAGGCAGGAGAATTGCTTGAACCCGGGAGGTAGAGGTTACAGTGAGCTGAGATTGCCCCACTGCACTCTAGCCTGGGCAACACAGCGAGACTACATCTCAAAAAATAAAAATAAAATAAAATTTAAAAATAATAATTAGGCCGGGCGCGGTGGCTCATGCCTGTAATCCCAGCACTTTGGCAGGCCGAGGCAGGTGGATCACCAGAGGACAAGAGTTCAAGACCAGCCTGGCCAACATGGTGAAACCCCGTCTTTACTAAAAATACAAAAATTTGCTAGGTGTGGTAGCGCCTGCCTGTAATCCCAGCTACTCAGGAAGCTGAGACAGGAGAATCACTTGAACCCGGGAGGCGGAGGTTGCATTGAGCCAAGATCGCACCACTGCACTCCAGCCTGGGTGACAGAGCGAGACTCCATCTCAAAAAAAAAAAAAAAAATAATAATAATAATAATAAACTAATAAACACATAGAAACCAAAACAAATGTAACACTCCCAAACTCATTCCTGAAAAGGGGCACTGCAGAAATGTTATCAAGAATCTTATCTTACACCAAATGATACACAAGCAACCCATGCTATGTCCAAATGACACAAAAGCTCAAATAGCATAGACAGAGGATTCCCCGTGTGTGCCCTGGTTTGACTTACCCAGTCTTGGGGCCCATCAACTCCCTTGGATACCACTTGCACCACCAAAGTGTTACAGGCTGCTGATTCCATGAAGGGGACAGAAGAGAGGGTCCCCAAGACAAAAGATTTCTCAGTTGCTGCTAGGACACTCCTGGAATCCCAGCCACAGAGGCAGCTAGCCATGAGCAGCAACTAGCACTCATAAGCGGTTGCTGCTCTGCCTGATAACATGAACAGGTAAGCCCTGGTGCACTGCTGCAGCCAATTGCTCCATCCATGGAAACCAGGCAGGCTAGACCACCAGAGGGCACACAGCCCCACATTGGGTGCCAAATTTTGTAACTGAACCTATGTTTGGCTGCTTGCTGCTCAAAAACCAGACACGAGAAATGAGGGTTGGTGGGAGGAAAAGCCAGATTTATTTGGAAAGCCAGCAAAACCAAGAAGATGGTGAATTCATGTTTAAGAAATCATTGTCTACTCAAGGTTGTGAAGATTTTTTTTTTTGAGACGGAGTCTCGCTCTGTCGCCCAGGCTGGAGTGCCGTGGCGCCATCTCGGCTCACTGCAACCTCCACCTACTAGGTTCAAGCAATTCTCCTGCCTTAGCCTCCCGAGTAGCTGGGACTACAGGCACATGCTGCCACCCCTGGCTAATTTTTTTTTTTTTTGTATTTTAGTAGAGATGGGGTTTCACTGTGTTGCCCAGGCTGGTCGCGAACTCCTGAGCCCAGGCAATCTGCCCACTTCAGCCTCCCAAAGTGCTGGGATTACAGGCGTTGAGATACCGCACCCAGCCAGAAGATTTCTTTTTAATGTTTTCTTCTAGTCACTTTATAAATGCAGCTTTTACATGTAAGTCTAATTTTTATGTTTATCAGGTAAGAGCTGAAGTTCATTTTCTTCCATGCAACTATGCAGTTGTTTTAGCAACACATCTTTAAAAGGCTGTCCTTTCTCCGCTGAATTATCTTGGTACCTTTGCTGAAAATCAATTGATCACACATATGGGGTTCTGTTTTACTGATCATAGTTTATCCTTATATCAATATCATATTATCTTGATGACTGTAGCCTTGTCATAAGTCTTCAAAAGAAGTAGTCTAAGTTCTCAAACTTTGTTCTTTCCCAAAAAATTTTTGGCTATTTAATACATTTAACATTGCATACATTTTGGAATTAGCTAGTCAATTTCTAAATCAAAAGACTGCTGAAAATTTGACTAGAATTGCATTTAATTTATAGAAAAACTTACATGTATTAAACAATCCATAGTTTTTTTGTTTGTTTGTTTGTTTTTTTAGACAAAGTCTTGCTCTGTTGCCCAGGCTGGAGTGCAGCGGTGCGATCTCAGCTCACTACAACATCTGCCTCCCAGGTTCAAGTGATTCTCCTGCCTCAGCCTCCTGAGCAGCTGGAATTACAAGTGCATGCCACCATGCCCAGATAATTTTTGTACTTTTTGTAGAGACAGGGTTTCACCATGTTGGCCAGGCTGGTCTCGAACTCCTGACCTCAAATGATCTGCCTGCCTCAGCCTCCCAAAATCCTGGGATTACAGGTGTGATCCACTGTGCCCAGCCCATAGTATGTTTTCTCATGTATTAAGATCTTTTAAATTTATCTCAGCAATGTTTATAGGTTTCGGTATATAGGAGTTACGTCTATTTTGTTAAATTCATCCTTAAGTACTTAATGTCTTTTTACACTGTTCTAGATGACATCTTTAAAATTTAATTTTCCAACTTTCTTTCCAAGAGAATTCCAATTATGTTTTCAAGAGAATTGAAAACGTATGTTCACATAAAAAATTGTTTATAGCAGCATTATGCGTAATAACCAAAAAGTGGAAACTCCCAAATGTTCATCAACCTATGAGTGAATAAACAAAAAGTAGTATATACATACAAGGGGATATTATTCAGTTAGAAAAAGGAATGAAGTACTGACACATGCTACAACATTGGTAAACCTTGAAAGCATTTCAGTAAGTGAAAGAAGCCAGACACAAAAGCCCACATATATCGGGTGATTCCATTTATATGAAATGTCGGAATAAGCAAATCCATAAAAATGGAAAGTAGATTAGCCATTGACAGGAACTGTGCGGAATGGGAAATGATGAGCAAGTGCCAATAGATAAGAGGTTTTTTTTCAGGGTGATGTAAATGCTCTAGAATTAGATACTGGTGATGTTTACACAATTTTAAGTACATATTAAAAACCACTGGACGGGCACAATGGTTCATGCCTGTAATCCCAGCACTTTGGGAGGCTGAGATGGGCAGATCACGAGGTCAGAAGTTCAAGACCAGCCTGGCCAATGTGGTGAAACCCCGTCTCTACTAAAAGTACAAAAAAACTAGCCCGGCGTGATGGGGCATGCCTGTAGTCCCAGCTACTCGGGAGGCTGAGGCAGGAGAATCGCTTGAACCCAGGAGGCGGAGGTTGCAGTGAGCCGTGATTGTGCCACTGCGCTCCATCCTGGGCAACAGAGGGAGACTCCATCTCAAAAACAAAAAGCAACAAATACTGTATTGTATACTTTTAAATGGTGAGTTTTATGGTACACGAATTATACCTTGATTTTAAAAAAATTTATTTTCCAATTGCTTATTGTTAGTATATAAAAATATAATTAATATTTGGTTATTGAACTTGTATCCTACGATCTTGCTAAATTCAACTTTTAGTGCTATGGTTTGCATGTGTTCCCCCAAAAGCATGTATTGAAAACTTAATCCCCAATGCAGGAGTGTTGGCAAGTAAGAACTAATGACAGGCAATTAGGCCTTGAGGGCTCCACCCTCATGAATAAATTAGTGATGTTATTGTGGAAGTGAGTTCATTATTGTAGAAGTGGGTTCATTGTAAAATTCTCTTTCTTGCCCTCTTACCTTCTGCCATGAGATCACACAGCAAGCAGTCCCTTGCCAGCCTCTCAGTCTTGGACTTCCCAGCCACCAGAACCATGAGCCAAATAAATCTCTGTTCTTGGGCATCCTGTTACAGTAGCACAAAAAAGCAAAAATAGAAAATTGGTACCGGAGAAGTGGGGTATTGTTATAACAAATACCTGAAAATGTGGAAGTGACTTTGGAAGTGGGTAATGGGTAGAAGCTGAAGAATTTGGAGGAGAAGCCTAGAAAAAAAAAAAAACCTGTACAGAGCATTAAGGCTCAGAAGAAGAGATAGCTGTTAGGAAAGTCTGAAATTTCTTAGAGACTGCTTAAATGGTCGTGACCAGAATGTTGGTGGAAATGTGGACAGTGAAGACTATTCTGATGAGTCTCAGATGAAAATGAGGAGCAAGGTATTGGAAACTGGAAAATGGGTCATCCTTGTTATAAAGTGGCACACAAGTTAGCTGAATTGTGTCCATGCTCAAGGGCTTTATGGAAGACAGAACTTAAGAACCATGAACTAGGACATCTGGCTGAAGTAAAATCTAAGAAGCAAAGCATTATGAAGCTGCGTGGCTTCTCTTAACTATATGTGGTAAATTTAGAGTGGACACGCATGATTTAAAGATGGCATTTATCATTTAAAAGGGAAGCAGAATAGAAAGACTTGGAAAATGTCCAGCCTGGCCATGTAAAGAGTGAAAAGTCATGTTTAGAAGAGCAAACCAAGGGTGTGGCAAAGCAACTGTTTACTAAAGGGATTAGTAGGGATGGAGGGGAGTCAGATGCTATTTATCCCACAAAGACAATGGGAGAATGGGGCTGCCCCTCCCATCACAGGCAAGAGCAGGGTATTGAGGGTGAGCTTTCCAGAGAAGCACCAGCAGATAATCAGCATTTACTACCTGCATTCCCTCAAGTCTCTGCTCCCTGCATTCCAGCACAGCACTGCTTGGCCACCCCAGCCCTGGCTCAAGTGTGGCCAGGTGCAGCATGTGATGCTGCTCCAGAGGGCACAAGCTCTAAATCTTGGCAGTGTTCACATGTGTGCCAACTCTGCAGATGCCAAGAGGGTGCAAGCTATGGGCCATGGCAGCCCTCACCTAGATTTCAAGGAATATCTCGGACAGCCTGGGGTCCCAGGCAGAAATGTGGTGCAGGGTCAGAGCCACAGCAGAGAGTATCCTGGAGGCATCACAGAGTCCCCATTAGGACAGTGCATAGTGGAACATGTTTGGTTTCACAGGCTCAAGGCTGGAAGAAGTATGCCTCAGAATGAATTGTGCCATAAGTCTCTCCCATATCTAATATAGATGAGACTCTGGACTTTGGACTTTTGAACTGGTGCAGGAATGAGTTAAGACTTGGTGTTGGCCGGGCGCAGTGGCTCACGCCTGTAATCCCAGCACTTTGGGAGGCTGAGGCAGGTGGATCACGAGGTCAGGAGATCGAGACCATCCTGGCTAACACGGTGAAACCCTGTCTCTACTAAAAAATACAAAAAATTAGCCAGGCGTGGTGGTGGGCACCTGTAATCCCAGCTACTCAGGAGGCTGAGGCAGGAGAATGGCGTGAACCCGGGAGTCGAAGCTTGCAGTGAGCCGAGATTGTGCCACTGCACTCCAGCCTGGGCGACAGAGCCAGACTCCGTCTCAAAAAAAAAAAAAAAAAAAAAGACTTGGTGTTATTAGGATAAAATTAATATATTTTGCTTGTGAGAAGGATGTGAATTTGGGGGGCCAAGGATAGAATACTATGTTTTTAACGTATTCTCCAAAAAGCATATGTTGGAAACTTAATCCTCAATGTAACGTTATTGAGAAGTGGAGCCTAATGAGAGGTGATTAAGCCATGAGGCTCTAACCCTATGAATGGATTAAGGCCATCATCGCAGAAGCAAGTTCATTATTTCAGAATGGGTTTGTTATAAAATGGCAGGTTCAAGTTTGAACCCCTTCTCTCTCTCTCTCTCCTTTCTCTCTCTCTCTTGTCTTTTTGCCTTCTGCCCTGAGATGATGCAGCAAGAAGGCCTTCACAAGATGCCAGCCCCTCAATCTTGGACTTCCCAGTCTCCAGAACCATGACTCAATAAATTTCTGTTTATTTTAAATTACTCAGCCTTAGATATTTTGTTATAGCAGCACAAAATGAACTAAGACAATCAGTTATACTTTTCAAATTTAGATTCCTTCAGATTTTTATGACATTCACAAATAAAAAGTGTTTTACTTTTTAATTTTTGTCCTATATGTACTTTATTTATTTTTCTCACCTTATTGCTCTGGCTAGACCTCCAGTACAATGTTGAATAGAATGGTAAGACAGAGAGTGATTGATAGCTAATATAAATATTGATATTTAGGGAATGTTAATAACGGATATAAGGGAGTTCTTTGTACTATTCTTTAACCTTCTTTATGTCAAAATAAATAGTTACAAAGAAAAAAAGAAAGAAACTATGTACCACACACTGTTCTAAGCATATTTTAAGTTATTTAATTCTTTCAACATCCCTCTGAGGCAGATATTTTTACCCACTTTTACAAAGGAGGAAACTGAGGCACAGGAAGGTTAAGTAGCTTTACCAGGATCACACAATTTGTAGTTAGCAGAAGCAATATTTGAATCAAGGCAGCCTGGCTTCTGAGTCTTTGCCCTTATCCACTATGCTATTCTGTCTATCCAAAGAGTATATCTTTAGTTTTTATTTAGTTTATGAGGACATTCACGGGAACTTTCATAATCTCAGCCCCTCTAACTTAATTTTTCCCATTAGGTTATGTTCTTCAACTAGAATTTCTCTTGGCCTCAGGTTTTGTTTGTTTGTTTATTCATTTGTCCAGGAACTTAAATGTAATAGCTGGAGAAGAACCACAGAACTTTAGTGACTTTGATAGATAAGTGTCTGAAAACGTGGCAGAGTGTTGTCACTCTAAATAAGATGGCACAGAAGGTGAAGATGCTCAGGTCAAGAGGATGTCTGGTGTAGAGCTTGAGGCAAAGGGACTTTGTGTAACAATAGCACTGTCTAGCACTAACTGTAGAGAAAAAAGGGACCAATTATGGTTTGTTTGTTTGTTTGTTTGTTTTTTGAGACAGGGTCTTACTTTGTTGCCCAGGCTGGAGTGCAGTGGTGTGATCTTGGCTCACTGCAACCTCTGCCTCTTACGCTCATGTGATCCTCCCACCTCAGCCTCCCAAGTAGCTGGGCTACAGGCAAATGCCACCATGTCCGGCTAACTTTTATACTTATTTGGGGTATTTTTTGTAGAGATGGGGTTTCGCCATGTCACTCACATTGTTCTCAAACTCCTGGACTCGAGCGATCTGCCAGCCTCAGCCTCCCAAAGTGCTGGGATTACAGGCATGAGCCACTATGCCTGGTCCCCAGTTATGATTCTAAGCTTATCAAAACCGTAATAAATGACACAAATATGGCTGTTGCAACCTTATTTTCTTTTTTTTTTTTTTTTTTTGAGACGGAGTCTCACTCTGTTGCCCAGGCTGGAGTGCAGTGGCACAATCTCAGCTCACTGCAACCTCTGCCTCCAGGGTTCAAGCAATTCTCTGCCTCAGCCTCCCAAGTAGCTGGGACTACAGGCACACGCCACCATGCCTAGCTAGTTTTTGTATTTTTAGTAGAGACAAGGTTTCACCATGTTGGCCAGGCTGGTCTTGAACTCCTGACCTCGTGATCCACCTGTCTCCGCCTCCCAAAGTGCTGGGATTACAGGCGTGAGCCACCATGCCCAGCTGCAACCTTATTTTCAATAATATAATTTCAAAGGTATTCATGCACTTGGTGCTGGCACATATGCATTCAAAACAGTACTCTGATATACTGTGAATGGTAGGGAAACTGATAACAATCTTTCTGGAGAATAATTTGACAATGGGCATCAAAGACATCAAGGAGCATTGAGGATCTGGGCTTGGTGGCTCACACATAGAATCCCCCCAATTTTGGAGGCCGAGGTGGGAGGATGGTGTGACCCAGGTGTTCAAGACCAGCCTGGGTGACACAGCGAGATCCTGACTCTAAAAAAGAGGGGAGAGCATTCATGTTCCATGACAAAGAAAGTCTCCTTCTAGGACTATACCCTAAAGAAATCAAATGAATTAGATGTACGCAGAAAGTTGCTTATTGCAATATTGTTCATAAAGCAAAAAACTGGAAACAAACACCCAACAACAGCTGAAGGATTAAATTATGGCATGTAAATATAATAGATTGAAATATAGTTATCAGAATTTTATTGAAATGAGAAACCTTACAGATAAAAATTGTAGCACCAAGAATCACCCTCCTATTTCCTGCATATCAGCAACTCTCATTTCTTTTTTTTCTTTTTTCTTTTTTTTTTTTTTGAGATGGAGTTTCGCTCTTGTTGCCCAGGCTGGAGTGCAATGGCGCAATCTCAGCTCACCGCAACCGCTGCCTCCCAGGTTCAAGCGATTCTCTTGCCTCAGCCTCCCAAGTAGCTGAAATTACAGGCATGCGCCACCACGCCCAGCTAATTTTTTTTTTTTTTTGAGACGGAGTCTCGCTCTGTCGCCTGGGCTGGAGTGCAATGGCGCAATCTTGGCTCACTGCAGCCTCCGCCTCAGCCTCCTGAGTAGCTGGGACTACAGGCATGTGCCGCCACCACGCCCGGCTAAGTTTTTGTATTTTTAGTAGAGTTGTGGTTTCTCCATGTTGGTCAGGCTGGTCTCGAACTCCTGACCTCAGGTGATCCGCCTGCCTCAGCCTCTCAAAGTGCTGGGATTACAGGCGTGAGCCACCACGCCTGGCCTAGCAACTCTCATTTCTGTGTCCTCCTTTGCTCTCCCGCTGGGCTGTAGCTGCTTGTCTAGCGCAATAGTTTTCAAACTGTTTGCCTAGGGCCTTCAGAGTTCTATCAGGTGCCTTGGGAGCTGTGGGTGAGGAGCAAGAGAGAGGACCCATACACCTCGGGATTCCACTTGTATCACTTTTTTATACTGAAGTAGCATATAAGCTTTTGTTTAGAAGGATTGCAATGTTTAAAAAAAAAATGGTCCTGGTGCAGTGACTCACACCTGTAATCCTAGCACTTTGGGAGGCCAAGTTAGGAGGATCACTTGAGCCTGGGAGTTTGAGACCAGCCTGGGTAACATAGGGAGGCTCTGTCTCTACAAAAATAAAAAAATTAGCTGGGCGTGGTGGCACATGCTTGTGGTCCAAGCTACTTGGGAGGCTGAGGTGGGAAGATCGCTTGGGCCCAGGAGGTTGAGGCTGTAGTGAAGTGTGAGGGCGCCACTGCACTCCAGACTGGGTGACAGAGTGAGACCCTGTCTCAAAAAATGAAAGAACAAAAAAGACCAAGTTCACCTATTTCACCCTCTATATTGATAACTTCTTTAATATTGTCCTAGTTCTGACCTCTTGAATATTCTTTTAGGATGTAGCTTTTAGCACTTTCAGCAACATTACTTTACCTTGTCCCTTTATCAACCCACAGCTGACAGAAGACCCAATAAGTAATTAGACTTGAGGGAAAGCCCCTTACGAAAGGACATCCCTAAAAAGTTAAAATACAAAAACTAAAATTATATATCAAACAGTAATGCAAGCAATGTTTCCCCAAAAGCAGAACCCAAGACAAGGATTTAGGTGCAGGTAGCTTATTTGGAAGGAAGCAAGGATGACAGAACAGGGAGAGAGACAGCGAAAATGGACAAGCCAGGGGTACATTATTAAAGTTGCTGCTGTAGGCAACAAGTGCTCACTTCTGTGAGCCTCCTAGAGGTGTAGGTTGCCTCCTAGAGAAGGGCGCAGAATGCCTCCTAGAACAGCCCACCTGGAAGCTGGGAGACTGCAGCAGTTACCCATTGACTTCCATTCTCTATTAATTGAGGATTTCTTTTGCTTTGTGGGGTGTGTTGGGAAGGAGATGCACTCCAGAGAGCTCAGTGGTGTTTAAAAAAAAAAAAAAAGCAGCAGGCTGGGTGCCCTGGTTCACACCTATAATCCCAGCATATTAGAGGCTCTCTTGAGGCCAGAAGTTTGAGACCAGCCTGGGCAACAAAATGGGAGCCATCTTTACCAAATAATTAATTAATTAACCTGGTGGGGGGTGGCATGCACCTATAGTCCCACTTACTCTGGAAACTGCGGTGGGAGGATTGAGGTTGCAGTGAGCTGTGATTGTGCCACTGCACTCCAGCCTGGTGGCAAAGGAAGACACTGTTTCTTTTCTTTCCTTCCTTCCTTCTTTCTTTTTTTTTTTCTTTTTCTTTTTTTTTTTTTTTTTTTTTATGAAGTCTCACTCTCTCGCCCAGGCCGGAGTGCTATGGCACAGACTTGGCTCACTGCAACCTCCACCTCCTGGGTTCAAGCGATTCTCCTACCTCAGCCTCCCAAGTAGCTGGGACTTACAGACATGTGCTACCACGCCCAGCTAATTTTTGTGGTTTTAGTAGAGATGGGGTTTCACCATGTTGGCCAGGCTGGTCTTGAACTCCCGACCTCAGGTGATCCACCCACCTCAGCCTCCCAAAGTGCTGGGATTACAGGCGTGAGCCTCTGCACCCTCCCTCCCTCTTTATTTATTTATTTCTTTTTTTTTTTTTTTGAGACAGAATCTCACTCTGTTGCCCAGGCTGGAGTGCAGTGGTGTGCACTCTCTGCTCACTGCAACCTCTGTCTCCTGGGTTCAAGCGATTCTCCTACCTTAGCCTCCCAAGTAGCTGGGATTGCAGGCATGTGCCATGACACCTGGCTAATTTTTGTATTGTTAGTAGACATAGGGTTTCACCATGTTGGCCAGGCTGGTCTCAAATTCCTGACCTCAGGTGATCCGCCCACCTTGGCTTCCCAAAGTGCTGGGATTACAGGCGTGAGCCACTGCTCCCAGACCATTGTTTCTTAAAAAAATAAAAAAATAGGCCAGGTGTGGTTGTTCATGCCTGTAATCCCAGCACTTTGGGAGGCTGAGGCGGGCAGATCACGAGGTCAGGAGACTGAGACCATCCTGGCCAACACGGTGAAACCCCATCTCTACTAAAATACAAAAAATTAGCTGGGCCTGGTGGCATGCACCTGTAGTACCAGCTACTCAGGAGGCTGAGGCAGAGGAATTGCTTGAATCCAGGAGGCGGAGGTTGCAGTGAGCTGAGATCGCGCCACTGCACTCCAGCCTGGTGACAGAGCGAGACTCCATCTCAAAAAAAAAAAAATGATAAAATAAAATAAATAAATAAATAAATAAAGGCCAGGTACAGTGGCTCAGGCCTTTGGGAGGCTAAGGACGGCAAATTGCTTAAGACCAGGAGTTCCAGACCAGCCTGGGCAACTAAACAAGACCCTGTCTCTACCAAAAATAATAATATTAAAATAAATTAGCCAAGTGTGGTGATGCACACCTGTAGTCCCATCTACTCCAGATGCTGAGACAGGAGGATCACTTGATCCCAGGAGTTCAAGGCTGCAGTGAGCTATGATCACTGCACTCCAGCCTGGGCAGCAGAGTGTGACCTTGTCTCTGAAAAGAAAAAAAAAAAAAAAAGGCTGGACACCATGGCTCATGCTTGTAATCCCAGAACTTTAGGAAGCAAAGGCAGGACGATCACTTGAGCCCAGGAGTTGGAGAGTAGCCTGGGCAAGACAGGGAGATCCCTGTTTCTACAGGAAAAAAAAAAAAAAAAATTAGCCAGGCGTGGCGGCGTGTGCCTGTAGTCACAGCTACTCAGGAGTCTGAGGCAGGAGGATCTCTCAAGCCCAGGAGGGTAAGGCTGCAGTGAGCTTTGATTGAGCTGCTGCACTCCAGCCTGGGCATCAGGTGATACACTGTCTCAAAAAAAAAAGAAAAGAAAGAAAGAAAAGAAAAACGAAAAAAGAAAAAGAAAAGAAAAGATAAAGCAGAATGTAGAAAGACACATGGCAGCATCTTGAGGAAAGATGCTGTGAGTGTGAAGTAGGTTTAGAGCTGTCTCAGAATTGAGTCAGGGGATGTGACGTGGGCATTTGAGGGGTCTGTTACAACATGCCATGAGCAATGTTCCTCTGAGTTTTTAAAGTTGTGAGTAAGCAACGATATTCCATGAGCAGGAGCAAAATGAGTATACATGAACAGACTGATGGTGCGATAAAATTAAACAGGTGTAATGAATAGTCCAGTGTTCACTTTGTTACTTTCATAAATGTTCTATGTGAGTGTATTTTGGTGGAGGGGGGACTCTATGAAGAGGCTGAATTTCAATGTTTCCACTGAACACAGAAAGCGTTCATGGAAGCAGAAAGCTGAAGACATATTGCACAAGAGACTGTAAGCCTCTCAAGAATTTGTATATATTTGGGAGAGGGTTTTGGATTTCCACAAGAGCTTGAGTCTACCTTTTTGGATCTTAAGAAACAGAAAAATCCCTGCGACAAAATTTAACCTGATATTAAGCAATGACATGTTTAGCTAGTGTATTAGTCTGTTTTCACAATGCTATAAAGAACTACCTGAGACTGAGTAATTTATAAAGAAAAGAGGTGGCTGGGTGCAGTGGCTCATGCATGTAATCCCAGCACTTTGGGAGGCCGAGGCAGGCAGATCACGAGGTCAGGAGTTTGAGACCAGCCTGACCAACATGGTGAAACCCTGTCTCTAATAAAAATACAAAAATTAGCCCAGTGTGGTGGCACGCACCTGTAATCCCAGCTACTCAGGAGGCTGAGGCAGGAGAATTGCTTGAACCCAGGAGGCAGAGGTTGCAGTGAGCCGAGATTGCACCACTGCACTCCAGCCTGGGTGACAAAGCAAGACTCCATCTTAAAAAAAAAAAAGAGGTTTAATTGACACACAGTTCTGCATCGCTGGGAGGCCTCAGGAAAGTTACAATCATGGCAGAAGGGGAATGGGAAGCAAGGCACATCTCACATGGCAGCAGGAGAGACAGGGAGAGCAAGTGGGGAAGTGCCACACTTTTATACCATCGGATCTCATGAGAACTCACTCACTATCAAGAGAACAGCATGGGGGAAATCCACCCCCATGATCCAGTCACCTCCCACCAGGTCCCTCCCCTGACACATGGGGAATAAAATTCCACATGAGATTTGGGTGGGGACATATAGCCAAACTATATCAGTTAGACTACATATACTAAAACTAACATACAGCCTGGCCAACATGGTGAAACCTCGTCTCTACTAAAAATACAAAAATTAGCCAGGTGTGGTAGTGCACACCTGCAATCCCAGCTATTTGGGAGGCTGAGGCATGAGAATTGCTTGAACCTGGGAGGTGGAGTATGCAGTGAGCCAAGATCACACCACTGCACCAGCCTGGGCAACAGAGCAAGACCCTGTCTCAAAAAAAAAAAAAAAATTAACATGCATGATAATTAAGTGAAGTCTAGATCTCTCCCAACAACCTTCCTTTATCACCACCGTATCTGGGGCTTTGCGATAAAGGGAACAGAGAAGTACCTAAGGGAAGGGGGAGGATATAAACCAGCTGTGCAGAGGGCAGAGTGTGCTTTGGTGTCTTAGGCCAGGCTGTAGCAAAGAGAAGCTGAGGCTTGAGGATACATGCTCTACCACCCTTAGTTTGGGGCTCAGTCCTCTGGAGGCAAACCCTCTGAAAAATATTTGCCTCAAGCTGTGTTTTCAAACAACTGGGACAACAGGTGTACAATGAGACTGTCCTAGGTAATGAAATGTTTTTTTTTTCTTTTCTTAGTGTGTGTGTGTGTGTATGTGTGTGTGTGTAGTATGTGTGTATAAATCTATAAAGGGTCTTTTGGCATACCAGTTCCAACCAGGCTGAAGATGTAGACTAGAGTGGGACATTAGGAAGGGCAAGAGAATGTTTTCCATAGCTTTGATCAACTCATCCTCCTGCTTAAAATGTTCTCATGGCTCCCTATTGTGAGAAAGTATACTAAAGTACTTATATGTTTGGATGATGGTCCAAATCTGGGACTATTTGAACATCAAAATAAACAAATGTGGTAATGGATTATAATCCTATGGTTGGGGACCCCTAAGACCACCCTCAATTTCAATGATTTGCTACAAGAACTCAAAGAACTCAGACACATTGTTATACTCGTGGTTATGATTCATTATGGTAAAAGGATGCAAATTAAAATCAACAATATGAAAATGCACATAGTGCAGAGTCCAAGAAAGACCAGATGCAGGCTTCCAGTGTCCTCTTTCAGTGGAGCTGTGCGGACATTAATACTATGTGACAACACACGTGAAGTATTGTCAATCAGAAGCCCACCTAAGCCTTGGTGTCCAGGGTTTTTATTGGGGGTCAATTGCATAGTCATAGTAATTGCTCCTATGGCTGACCTGAATTCTCCAGTCCCTCTAGAGGTCAAGCTGATATTATGTGGCCCAAAGTGCCCACTATAAATCGCATTGTTAGCATGAATGATCTGGTGTGGCCCAAGGCCTTAACTAAACAAAAATACTCTTTATTAAGAGCCTTGAAACTAGGCAAGGGCCAAACTTTTCTTTGCAATGTACAGGGTTTGAACAACCCACACCTGCTGAGTTAATCCTTTACAAATCTGCTAAATAAAATAAAAATCCATGAGTACATATTGATATAAATAAACAAGGAATGTTAAATTAAGTTTAGCCTAAAGCTGCCGCCTTACATATTTTAAGGTCAGCCTAAAAATTTCTCCGTACATGGTGAACTATAACCTAACTGGATGTGTAAACAGACTGTACCTATTCTTGTGCCAATCACTGAGTTTTAGCCAACCAAGGGTGGCCAACTGTTCAAACCATGTTCAAATAAGGCAAACACTGAGCCGTAACCAATCAGCTGTTTTTATACTTGTATTAGTCTGTTCTCACACTGCTATAAAGAACTACCTGAGACTGGGTAATTTATCAAGAAAAGAGGTTTAATTGACTCACAGTTCTGCAGGCTGTAAAGGAGGCAAAGCTTCAGAGGCCTTAGGAAACTTACAATTGTGGGAGAAGGCAAAGGGGAAACAAGCAATTCTTCACATGGCAGCTTAAGACAGAGAGAGTAAAGGGTGAAGTGCTACACACTTTTAAACAACCAGATCTCGTGAAAACTCACTATCACAAGAATAACAAGGAGGAAACCCGCCCCCATGATCCAATCACCTACCACTAGGTCCCTCCCCCAACACTGGGAATTACAATGCAACATGAGATTTGTGTGGGGACACAGAGCCAAATGATATCAATACTCACTTCCATTTTCTGTATATCACCTTCCTTTTCCCGTCTGTAAATCTTCTTCCACCAAACAGCTGTGCTGGAGCCTCTCTGAACCTATTCTGATCCAGGGGCTGCCCAATCCAAGTTATTTTTTGCTCAATTAAACTCTATTAAATTTAATTTGTCTGAGGCTTTTCTTTTTAACAGGGATGAGGAACAATCCTTCTTGAAGAATGATAACTAATGATGTAGAAGGAATGATGAAGTTAGAAAAATCACTACAGTTGGTCCTCTGTATGTGTATAGCAGAGCCTCTAGAGGGAGCATGACCCTGCCAACTCCTTGATTTCAGACTTCCAGTCTTCAGAACTGTGAGATAATGAATTTCTGTTGTCACCTAGTTTGAGGTCATTTGTTGCAGCAGCCATAGGAAACTAATGATATGAACAGGAGACAGGGAGATCGGGAAATTCTGCGTAGAAGAGGGTGGTTCCCTGGCAAAGGCCCCACCTTCAAGCCTGTAGACCATGGCCCTAAATGGAGACAGGCATTCCTGTTTTCATGCCCAAAACATTGCCTTTTGGCCCACCATGCCCCCTATCTCTTACCCATATAAACCTGGAACCCCAGGCTCCAGAAGCAGATGAGCAGACAAGCAGACGAGGAGACAAGGAGACAAGCAGATGAGCTGTGGCACAGCACAGCAGGGAAAGAGAGAAGAGGAGGAATGTCTGAACGCCAAGAGGAGTTCAACTGAGGGCAGTCAGGGAGGAGTTTGGCTGCTGGATGGCCAAACTTTAGGGGATCATCTTCCCACTCCATCCTCCCTTCCAGCTCCCCATCCATCCCACTGACTGCCACCTCCGCCACTCAGTAAAACCCCACATTCATCCTTCAAGCCTGTGTGTGACCTCATTCTTCTGGGACGCTGGACAAGAGCTCAGGATACAGAAAGCTGTCACACTGGCCCTCTGCTCTTGCAGAAAGGCAGAGGGTCCATTGAGCTGGCTAACACTCAAGCTGTCTGCAGACGGCAAGGCTAAAAGGGCACACGGTAACACACACCCACTTGCGCTCCTGCACCTGCCTGTCTGCGTGCTCCCCCTCCCATCAGGGGTTTGAGCAGTGGTGGCAATCAAATAGGCAAGCCACACCCCTGTCGCACGTCCTTCGAGGGGGATTACGGAACATGCTTGTTTCAGTAATACATATGCTTAAAGCAGAGGTGAAAGAATGATGCCTTGAGAATTTTTTTTTTTTTTAGACAGATTCTCACTCTTACTGCCCAGGCTGGAGTGCAATGGCGTGATCTTAGCTCACTGCAACCTCCGCCTCCCGGGTTCAAGCAATTCTCCTGCTTCAGCCTCCTGAGTAGCTGGGATTACAGGTGCCCGCCACTATGCCCGGCTAATTTTTGTATTTTTAGTAGACATGGGGTTTCACTATGTTGGCCGGGGTGGTCTCGAACTCCTGACCTCAGGTGATCCGCCCGCCTCGGCCTCCCAAAGTGCTGAGGTTACAGGAGTGAGCCACTGCACCGGCCTCAGGAATTTACACAATATTCAAGTATCCACGAAATACTTATTGATTACAAAGTAAAATGTAGTAACTCTTTAGAGGAGAAATCTGGCAGTAACTCCTTTAACCAAGCCTATTTGGTTTGGAGTCAAATTGCTGATTTGAAGCTCCACTTGCATCATTGTGGTTTTTTGTTTGTTTTTTTGTTTGGAGACAGTCTCACTCTTGCCCAGGCTAGAGTGCAATGGCAACATCACAGCTCACTGTAACCTCTGCCTCCCAGGCTCAGGTAATCCTTCTGCTGCAGCCTCCCAAGTAGCTGGTATACAGGCACACGCCACCACACCCAGCTACTTGTTGTATTTTTTGTAGAGACAGGTTTTGCCATGTTGCCTTGGCTGGTCTCGAACTCATGGGCTCAATCAATCCGCCCACCTGGGCCTCCCCAAGTGCTGGGACTACACGCGTGAGCCACCAGGCCCTGCCTGCATCACTGTCTTATATTAGCTTGTACAATGTTGGGAAAGTTACTTAATTTCACTAAGCTTCAATTTCCTGTAAAACGGATTAATAATAAAAAATATCCACATCTTAAGGATCTTAGGAGGATTGTGACAATTCCACATAAAGCCCTTAGCACAGGACCTAAGACATACATTGTCAATATGTATCAGTTATTCTTATGAGAATCACTCTCACCTACAGGTTTAAATCTCCTGTAATCTATTTAGGGAGATAAAATGTCCTCTCAGTGAAAGACTTCATGACAAGGCCACAGCCTTGTCTTTCCAGTTCATACTTAAATTGTACTCCTTTCCCAGACCTCCTGGTTTCTAATCATTCAACCTTGCTTACTGCAGGCCCTTGATCAACGAAACCATTCATCAGTGCCCCAAAGTCCCTCCATATCCGTAGCTCAGAAAACTACCTCTCCGCACAAAATTGATGATCAAGTATGTTTCTTGAAGCTCTTTCAGGGACACCCCCTAGTGAGGCTGCAGCTTCCAGAGAAGCAGGGTTAAACAGCAGCTTTCCTGATTCCATTGCTGTCTCCCTGGAGGGGTATGGCAGACAACAATGAGCAGAGTCAAAAGATGATTGATAGGGTCAAGCCTCAGAGACAGAGAAAATTATAGTGGGACTTAGTTTCCTTCTAACTTTTTTTATTTTAATTTTTCTTTAGAAACAGAGTCTTGCTCTGTTGCCCAGCCTGGAGCATAGTGACATGATCATTCCTTACTGTAACCTCGAAATTCTGGGTTCAAGTGATCCTCCAGCCTTAGCCTTTGGAGTAGCTAGGACTGTGTCCGGAATTGGCGGGTTCTTGGTCTCACTGACTTCAAGAACGAAGCCACAGACCCTCGCAGTGAGTGTTACAGTTCTTAAACGGAGGGTGTCCGGAGTTTCTTCCTTCTGGTGGGTTCGTGGTCTGGATGGCTTCAGGAGTGAAGCTGCAGACCTTTGCGGTGAATGTTACAACTCTTAAGGCGGCGCGTCTGGAGTTCTTCGTTCCTCCCCGTAGGTTCGTGGTCTCCCTGGCTTCAGGAGTGAAGCTAGACCTTCACGGAGAGTGTTACAGCTGATAAAGGCAGTGTGGACCCAAAAAGTGACCAGCAGCAAGATTTGTTGCAAGGAACGAAAGAACACAGCTTCCACACCGTGGAAACGGATGCCAGCAGGTTGCCACTGTTGGCTCGGGCAGCCTGCTTTTATTCTCTTATCTGGCCCCACCCATATCCTGCTGATTGGTCCATTTTACAGAGAGCCGATTGGTCCACTTTACAGAGAGCTGATTGGTCCGTTTTGACAGGGTGCTGATTGGTGCATTTACAATCCCTGAGCTAGACACAAAAGTTCTCCACGTCCCCACTAGATGAGCTAGATACAGAGTGCCCATTGGTGTATTTACAATCCCTAAGCTAGACGTAAAGGTTCTCCAAGTCCCCACCAGACTCAGGAGCCCAGCTGGTTTCACCCAGTGGATCCCGCACCAGGCAGCAGGTGGAGCTGGCTGCCACTCCCACGCAGTGCTCCACACTCCTCAGCCCTTGGGCCTCCGATGGGACTGGGTGCCATGGAGCAGCGGGGCGGCGCTCATCGGGGAGGCTCCGCCCCACAGGAGCCCACAGCAGGGGGTAAGACTCAGGCATAGCAGGCTGCAGGTCCCGAGCCCTGCCCCCCGGGGGAGGCAGCTAAGGCCCGGCAAGAAATCGAGCACAGCAGCTGCTGGCCCAGGTGCTAAGCCCCTCACTGCCCAGGGCTGGCGGGGCTGGCTGGCAGCTCCGAGTGGGGGGCCCGCCGAGCCCACGCCTACCCAGAACAGGCACTGGCCCGCAAGCGCCCCGGACAGTCCCGGTTCCTGCCCCCGCCTCTCCCTCCACACCTCCCCTCAAGCTGAGGGAGCCGGCTCTGGCCTTGGCCAGCCCGGAAAGGGGCTCCCACAGTGCAGCAGTGGGCTGAAGGGCTCCTCAAGTGTGGCCAGAGTGGGCGCCAAGGCCTAGGAGGCGCCGAGAGCAAGCGAGGGCTGCCAGCACGCTGTCACCTCTCAGGACTACAGGTGCACCACCATGCCTGGCTAATTTTTATTTCCTTTCTGATGTTTTAATTTAATTTATGATGTTGACCTAAGAGATGGAAACCAGGGCTGCTCTGGCAAAGACAGGGCTTATAGTTTCCCTCAATGCCAGAAGAGAAGGGAAAAATTTAAAACCATATCTTCTTTCCCTGTTCAAATCACTTCTCACACACATATTCCTTGTATTCTCAGTGAAACCACAAACTTGACCTTCTTGGATCTTTCTTCTTGATGGTTGGTCTATTTATAACATAGGAATGTGTGGACTTACTGACTACATTTCTAGTTAGGCAACCCCAAATTCTGCATTTCCCAACAAGCTAATGAACAAGGCCACCTCAGTGAAGATGGGGTTTCCTGGGTCTCACCCCAACTGATTCCCTCCATCATCTTAAAGCAAGTCACTCAATACCAGGCCTCAGCTTCCTCAACTACAAAAGGAAGGCAATGAACTATGTACTCAATAGAACTACAATCTTTCTACCAGTTGAAATACTTATTTTCTTTTTTTTTTTTTTTTGAGAGGCAAAATCAATTACTTCCTTTTCAATTGTCCTCTGGTGCTTTATTCCAATTTCTATTATATTTAACACTATCCTATTGCATTACAATTAGTTGTGTGTCTGCCTCTTTTCCTCATAAATTACAGGTTCCATAAAGACAGGCGTTGTATTAAATTTACCCTCGTATTCACAGCATTTAGTATTATGCTTGGCACTGTATTAGGCTCTAAATACATATCTATTGAATGAATAAATATGTAAGCTACTTTAAAAATGCCCATTCAGGCTGGATGCGGTGGCTCATGCCTGTAATCCCAGCACTTTGGGAGGCTGAGGTGGGCATATCACGAGGTCAGGAGATCGAGACCATCCTGGCTAACACGACGAAACCTCGTCTCTACTAAAAATACAAAAAATTAGCTGGGCGTGGTGGCGGGCACCTGTAGTCCCAGCTACTCGGGAGGCTTAGGCAGGAGAATGGCGTAAAACCCAGGAGGCAGAGCTTGCAGTGAGCCGAAATCGCGCCACTGCACTCCAGCCTGGGCGACAGAGCAAGACGCTATCTAAGAAAAAAAAATGCCCATTCAGAAGTTCCAATTAGTCATTTACATATTCCTTTCCTTTCCCCCCCAAAAAAGAAAAACCAAAACACTCTATCTCAATTCTAAAATCGGGGCAAGATTTGAAAATTGATTAAATCAAAGGCAGTTTGGTTTTAAGATGAATTGGAGTAAATCCTACACTTAAGAAGGAATCTTCCAGCACTTTGGAAGGCTGAGGTGGGAGGATTGCTTGAGGCCAGGAGCTCAAGACCAGCCTTGGACACCATAGCGAGACCCTGTCTGAAAAAAAACAAAAAAAACTCTTTCCTTCTTCCTCACCTCCATCTCCCACTTCCTTCTGAGTTTATTGTCTAGAGTTAGTCATGCCTTAGAACATGCCCATGAACAATCTCCCCACATTTTCCACCCTAACTCCCATCCCATTAGAAAATCAATACGTATTTCACAGGTCGCGGTGGCTCACGCCTGTAATCCCAGAACTTTGGGAGGCTGAGGCAGGCGGATCATCTGAGGTCAAGAGTTCGAGACTAGCCTGGCCAAAATGGTGAAACCCGTCTCTACTAAAAATACAAAAAAATTAGCTGGGCGTGGTGGCATGCGCCTGTATTCCCAGCTACTCAGGAGGCTGAGGCAGGAGAATCGCTTGAATCCGGGAGGCGGAGGTTGCAGTGAGACGAGATCACCCCACTGCACTCAAGCCTGGGCGACAGAGCGAGACTGTCTGAAAAAACGAACAAACAAAAACACGGGACCAACAATGCTCATTCTAGAGTTTGACATTACCTAGATCAGACTTGAAGCAGCTTGGTTACGAATCATTTGAGAGATCCCGAAACGTTCACAGAGCTGGAAGTATATTTTCAGTAGGGAAGAAGACATTCTTCAGATAGTATCATCAAGTGTACAAAATTTTTAAAAGATTTATTTACATATATCAAAGCATCACATTGTACCCCATAAATGTATGCAATTATGATTTGTCAATTAAAAATAGTATTGATAAAAAATGTAATGATGTTATTTGTAGACATGTAACATTTGAAAATAAATATAATTGTACTGATTTAGAGTGAACTAAGGAAATTTCATTTAAATGGCAAAGGAACATATGGTGACAGAGTAATATTACTAAAAATACTCACTAGAATTTTCCCTTAATATCTTTCCCTGATTTATGTGACATAAACAAACTACATAATGGTGTGAGGGACTATAAAGGTTTTATTGCCACTTGTTTGGTATTGCCTGCGTAACTCACTCTGAGTGCCAGTTGTGGGTATCTCAAACTAAGTGTCATAAAACATTTATAGCATGCCACTCCATTTCCTATACTTTTCATAGAGACAAAACTTTAGCGCTCACAAAAGTACTTATAAATATAATAGCTAGTTGTGAAAACTTTTTAATTTAGATCCCACATTTCCAGTTTGCAGGAAGAAAAATAAATGTAATGAAGATTTACGTTACTTCTCTGCATGAACTCAGATTAGTTCGCAAATTCCTTTTCAAAGAAAAACCACTTTTCAAAGATATCCTCAGTAAATGCATTTTGTAATTAACATAAAATTGGCAAAGTCGCTGTGCCTACACGTTTGAATTCATGTGTAAATAACGACTACTCACTTCCTTGCTTCCCCACCCGGGGACCAGGCTCCAAGCATCACAGGTGCAGAAAGACTTGCAAAAAGGAATGAATAGGAACAAAAGGATGTAGGCGCCAGGAGGAAAACAGGATCTTCCAGAACAAAATTAATCTCGCAAGGCATAGCAGATCCAACACCAGATTATTACCAAAGTTTAAACTTTTTCAATGGTCATCAGAGATAGCGTATCAAGTTTATTAGGTCTTTCACTACGGCTGATTTGCTTAAACCTTTATGTTATGCTTATCTTGAGGGATAGATTTCTGTGCTAAGCACATAATAGGTGTTAAACCAATATTGATTTTTAAAAGGAGGTGGTCATTAAATAGAAATTTTACTGTTATTTTAACCTTTAAATTTATGGCCCAAGGGCCAAACGATGATTTGTACGATTCCCTAGTTTCAATACTTGTGAGTTATTACAAGAAATACAACTCTGCTATGCAACAGAAGAACCGCAAATAGTCATTAAATTACCGCACACCAAGCAGCTTGGAGATCAGATAGGAAATGTTTGGGGAGAGAGTCCTGCTGAAGTTCCAAGTCTCAAACAAAACCCCTCAACATCAGAGTGCATGGTGAGTTTAAATTTATTGTAATTAAAGTCATCCAGATGGTAGTTGGATTAATCAATGAAGAGGTGGTTATCTATCTTGGGATAGAAGATTCTGAAACCCAGAGCGAGAAAAATCCCCAAGGTGGGGGTGGGGACAGTTAATAAGAGCCCTTGGGAAAGGCCCTTTCAGCGAGGATTGGAAAATAATACGTTTGAATTTGAATCTCTTTGAATATAAATCTCCCCTAACAGCAGGAAAAGGGTCCTCTAGCCCAGCAAGCTTTGGGGAGGGAGTAAGCGGAACTGCAAAAGAGCTCGCTCAGCTGTTTCTGGATTGGGGCGCAGAGAAAGAAATCGCGATCAGGGAACTGAGTACTGGAGTCCCTCAAAATAACCCGAAGGGTCAAATAGTGAGCTCCAAGCAAAGCGTTGACCCGGCTACCCCTGAGCAGCGCCCTACGCTGGGTTCCACTCCACTTCCCCTCCCCCGCGCGGGGCGATAGCCAGGCGCGGTCCCTTCCCACGCGGGCCGCGGCGAGTGCGGACAGCTCCCTTCCGGGCTGCGGAAGGCGGGAAGTCTGCGGTTCGCGGGCTCCGGCTGGCGGGCGCCCCTCGGAGTCCCTGAAGTCGGCCGGGCCCCGCAGGACCCGCGCCTTCTCGGCCCCAACTGTCCCTCGCGAAGCGTCCTGCGGTGGCGGAGGCCTCGCGGCCGCCCGCCAGCCCCGCGAGCGGCAAGCGCGGGGCTCAGAGGGGAGGCGGGGCAAGGCCGCGGGGCGGAGGGGGGCGGGAGGTGCATCCTGGGAAATCCACCAACATGGGGCGCAGCGGCCGCCGCCGCCGCCGCCGTCGCCGCGAGTCCCGGCCGCGGGTGCCTCCGCTTCCCTGACGCCCAGCTGGGGCCTCGCCGCCCGCCGCGGCCCGGGTCTTTGCGGCCCAGACTCGCCAGCGCGCCCTTCTCCCGCCTGCTCGCCGGGGCCATGTGAGGGGGCAGCTCCCTCCACCGCCGCCGCCCCCTCTTCCTCCCCCGCCCCCTCTCCCTGCCCGCCCCCGTCACACGGAGCCCTGGAGGATCCCCCGCTGCTGCCCGCCCTCCCTACGCCACCCCCACGATGGACAGGAACTACGCGACCTCGGGCTTCACCGAGCCGCCGCCGCCGCCGCCGCCCGCGCCCCCCGCCGCCCCCGTCCCCGCCAGCGCCGCTGCGCAGCCCCCCGCCCCAGCCTGGGCGTACGAACCCCGAGCCGCCGCCGCCGCCGCCAGCAGCAGCTGCAGCAGTGGCAGCTGCAGTAGCGGCAGCAGCCCCAGCCTCAAGGCCAGGTAGGGAGGGTGGGCGGCGGGGTCGCGGTGGACCAGGAAAGGCCGGGGATGCGTTTGGGGCCTTCGCTCGGTTGCAGCGCCGCCCAGAGGTCTGGGCCGGGCGGGGAGCCCTCCGCTCGCCCTCGGCCAGCTCGGGGGAGGCGGCTGATGACTCCTACGGGGTGGTCGCGGGTAGGTGGGGGCGCCCGGTGCAGGATTCGCGCCTGGGGACGGCGGGTGAAGGAATAGCTGGGCGGGAGTCGTGGGGCTCCGTCACCTCTTGGGTCCTGGGCTCTCACATGGTGAAGTTTGGGCTCGTGGCTGAACTCGGGATCTGTGAGACCCAGGATTGGCGCCGGGGGTCCGAAGGGGGCGCCGGAGAGTTTGGGGCAGTGGCGATCCATTGTATTGGAACCTGGGTGGCCGACAATGCGGTCTTGGGGACTCCGGCGTGTGAGGGTTGCGGAGGCGGGAGAGGAAGAGTCGCGGAACCGCGTCCCGGAGACACTGGGGGGCCCGGGAGGGCTGGGCTACGGGAGAATCCCCGGGGCGCAGGGCAGAAGAGGGGGCCCGGCAGGGCGCGAACGCGGCTCCAGGGCCGGGTGACATATGTTTGCGCTGGTGGCCAAGATTTAGGCGATTTTTCTTCCACGCGTTCAAAGTTGCTCTTAGGTTTCCTCCCCTTTTAACAACAGCAGGAAGTAAGGAATCTTTCTTTGCCTTCTATGCCTCGGGGTGACTGAGAGTTGGGAAGAAATGGGGCGGGGGTTGGGGTGGGGGTAGTGAAGGCCGTAAAGGTTGAAGAACCAAAGCATGCTTCTCCATCTCGGCCTTTAAGGTCCGGGTGCATTATGTAGCGTGGGGTTCAAGAGTTCATCTTGCATGACCAAGGGAATCTAAAATTTTGACTCCTACTTGATATTTAAGCTCGCGGGAAATGTGTAGTAGTGCCACACTGTGAAACGGTCCCATTTGAATGATAACTGGAAGGCGTGGTCTGGTTTGGAGAATTGGTGAGCGGGGTGTTTTAAAGCCACCTCTCCCGAACAATACAGAATCTGGTAGGTGCAGCTTCTGATTACATGGACCAGGGAATCCTGGGTTGCTAATGACTTCATCCTCAGCTACCAACAGGAAGCTTCGTGGCTTTATGATCTCATCAGATTTCTTCATTATTTTTCACGACAGAAGTGAACTTTTGTTTTAAGTTTATACATTACCGTGTTCCAGGTTATCTTCTTTGTTTTTACGAAAGTTCTACGTTCATGATTGAGCAAATAAGTGTGAAGGGTAGCTGGTCTTTGTCTTAGATTGTCCATTGGGACGATTGTGAAAGAATGAGAAAAATTTGCTTCAAGAATAGGAATATAAGCTTTCTCAGAAAATTTTAGGCCCTTTGTTTTCAAGACTTGGGAGTTAACAAAAATAATGTGATGTGCCAATTTGGAGCTAAGTAATTAAATGCTGAAACCTTTCAGAAATAGCCATAATTTTGTATTACATACAAGTAAGCCATTTTAAGGAGTTTCATGAAAGACGTTTGGCACTTCACCCATTATTTCTTGCTGATGGTAATTTGACTATCTTTTTCAAGTAGCTTTTTGCATTGACTAGGATAATTTACAAATGAAAATTACTTTCTCATCATTGAACAGCATGATAGGTATTTGTGCCGCATTTTTTATCTTTTAAATGAAAAATATTTATTAGGTAAATGGAACTGAAATACTACCTAGTTACTTCTTTTAGTAGAATACTTCTGAGGCAAGAAACTAAAATCTACTTGTCATATTTTCCAAATGTTATTTATCAGAGTAACACGAAATGACTTCCCAAACACACTTGAAAACAGTAAGTAGATTCACTTGGCACACATAATCTAAAGGAGATTTATTTTCTGTTTACTAGAAGTTATTGAATCTTAAATATTACCCCTCATGCCCTCTCCCCCTGCTTTTTTAAAAAATAAGCGGTGGGGGGAATCAGCTAAAATACAGCATAGAAAATGCAGGTTTACCCCCCTCCCCCGCCAGCCTGCTTTGTTAACATCTTGTATTGGGATCAGGCCATCTGTACAGAGTTACACTTCTGAATTATACCTCATTTTATTCCTCAAACTGTGCAAATATTCCCTTTGATTTCAGTTATATCAAAAATGGCAAATCTGAAATATGCCTTGTAAGTCTAAATATTCTACACTTCAGAAGCTTATTTATATTTTTATACCATTTTAAAAAGCTTTTTCATAATGCACATATCAGTTGAATGTTTTTGTTCCCCTTTGTGGCAGTTTCTTGTGAAGGTGCAAATGAGTACTAGTTGTGATGATGTAATATGGATACTTATCCATAAAGAATTAGCCTGTCTGTCACCTTGTTTCCTGTAACCTATTCAGAAGCTGACAGATGGTAATGACATTCAGTTGTTGCCGACAGGGATCTAACATCCTACTTTATGCCTTCTTGGTCTTGAAATACATCATTTTCATCAGTTGATGGGAAGGTACATGATAAACAGCTTTTCATGAGTTTGAAACAATACTTTTTTGAATACAACAGCTCTGTTAGTTATTAGGTAGTTTTATTGTACTAACAGTGGAAAAATAGAGTGGGAAACTCCAGCATTATACCTTAAATGGGGCTTATAGAAAGATTTTTGAATATTTCTCAGAGTACTTGCTAGGTACTTGGAAAGTACAGGGATAAGGACTGGCCATATAAATCTTCATTTATTTATGCTAATTTCAGTTCGTTTTAGGAACTAAATGAATGAACATGTCCTTTGCTGAACACCACGCAGTTGGAAATACCTTTTGGGGTGCAGTTTTGGATGTTGTAAATACCTTTGCATAGCTTGGGAAATAAGAAGGTCATCAAGAGTCTGCAGATCCATTGCCGCATTCTGTACTTGATACTTATATCTTGGTCACAACAGGAAGAGGCAGGCTGTTTTATGGTGATAATCGATGTGTTCGTATTTGAATATGCACCAGAAAGTAAGGGAATGGAAATATTTTGTATTTAAATAGGTTTATTTATTTTATTTTATTTTATTTTTTGCGATGGAGTTTCGCTCTTGTTGCCCAGGCTGGAGTGCAACGGCGTGATCTCAGCTCTCTGCACCCTCTGCCTCACGGGTTCAAGCAGTTCTCCTGCCTCAGCCTCCTGAGTAGCTAACCACACCTGGCTAATTTTTGTATTTTTAGTAGAGATGGGGCTTCACCGCATTGGCCAGGCTGGTAATTTTTGTATTTTTAGTAGAGATGGGGTTTCACTACATTGGCCAGGCTGGTCTTGAACTCCTGACCTCAGGTGATCCGCCCATTTTGGCCTCCCAAAGTGCTGGGATTACAGGTGTGAGCCACCGTGCCTGGCCTGTTTTTTGCCTTTCTAACTTGAAATAACTTTTGGCACCAGTTTTTAGAATTCCTAATGCATACTTTTTTTTAGTATGAGGTATAATGAGTATGATAAATACTCCTCTGAAAAACCAAAGTAATGATTAGCTCTTCTAAAACCTGTCAGTTTCTATATGATGGACATTTGTTTGATACATTTCAAATCTAGAGTTTTCCTCAAGGTTTTTGGGAAAAGGCCTTATAGATCATAATTTGTAAGGCGTAAGAACAATCTCAAGTTAATGAAAGGTTATTTCAGACAAACTTCCACTGTTAGAGTTCAGAAAGTTTTTTCCCATGGAAACCGTGTTGTAAGTAATAGTAGCTGTCATTTACATCACTAGCAACTAATTTGTGCTAGCTGTTTTAAGTCACACGTACATTCATTTATCAAAATTCATTTATCATGAATAAATGAATACATACATTCATTTATCAAAATTCATTATAAAAATCCTTTGAGGTAGGCATTCTTTTTACCATCCTTTTATGGATGAGGAAACTGAGGGATAGAGACATGAAGTAATTTATACCTACAGCTACATAGCTAGTAAATAGTGGTGCTGTGATTGAAACCTGGGCATTGCAGATCTGGAGCCTATGTGATAACCAGTGTACTGCACTGCTTTATTGTAAGATAGTGGAATGCTGTAATCCACCTATATGTGAAATGAGTTTCTGTGAGTTGGCCTGGAAACCTAAGCATCATTAATATCCTTATTTAAGTGTTCTTTGTCACCGTTGACCATTACCTAGTTGAAATACATTCCTTTTCACTTCCATAGCACTGTACTTGCCTGGTTTTCCTCCTACTTTTCTGGCCCAACGCTTTTTCCTGTTCTTCACTGGTGTTTACTCCTCTTCTGTCTAATCTCTGCATGTTACTGTTTCCTCAGGGCTTGGGATTGATAAATTTCTTGTTCATTCCTTGCTTTCTCCTGCGGACTCACATCCACGTCCATGCTTTTAAATACTATCTCAGTGGAGATGCCCATATTTGAGCAGACTCTTCTCAGGACCTCAGACTCTTCTGAAAACCTGATCACATAACCAACTACCTCTTTGACCTTTTACTTGAGCTTAATGATATGCTTTCCCCACCCATCACACCTCTGCTTCTCTAGTGAGGCCCATCTCAGTAGTCATACCTCTGTCCACTTAGTTGCCCAGGCCAGATGGTGGGAGTTGTGTGTGCTCAGTCACTAAGACCTACTGTTTTGAATCTAATGTCTTGAAACTGTCTGCTTCTTTTGTATCCACTGCTCCAGCTGGTCCAAGCCACCATTATTTTTCACTTGGACAACTGTGGTAGCTTCCTAACTTAGTCATCTTGGACCTTTTCTTTCCTCTCTTCAATTCATTCTTCTTATACCATCCAGAGTGATTTTTAAAAACACAGATCTACAAGTTTGCTCTTGGTCCTTTGCTTAAAGCCTTTCCATGGCTACTCCTACATATTAGGGTCACATTTTTAAACATCTGTAATATGGTCAGGCGTGATATCTCACGCCTGTAATCCCAGCACTTTGGGAGGCTGAGGTGGGAGTATTGCTTGAGCCCAAGAGTTTGAGACCAGCCTACGCAACGTGGTGAAACCCTATCTCTACAAAAAATAAATAGAAAAAATTAGCCGTGCATGGTGGCGTGCGCCTGTGGTCCCAGCTACTCTGGAGGCTGGGGTGGGAGGATGGCTTGAGCCTGGGAGGTGGAGGTTGCCGTGAGCTGTGATGGTGCCACTGCACTTCAGTGTGAGCGACAGAGTGAGAACCTGTCACACACACACACACACACACACACACACACACACACACACACACACATTGTAATGTGCTCTGTATGGCTCTGCGTTTACTGACCAATTTTTTTTAATTTATTTTCTTTTTTATTTTTTCTTGAGACAGGGTCTAACTCTGCTGCCTAGGGTGGAGTACAGTGGTATGAACACAGCTTACTGCAGCCTCGACCTCCTGGGCTCAGGTGATCCTCCCAAGTAGCTGGGACTACAGGCATGTGCCACCACACCTGGCTAATTTTTAAATTTTTTGTAGAGATGAGGTCTTGCTATGTTGACCAGGCTGGTCGGGAACTCTTGGCCTCAAGCAGTCTTCCTGCCTTGGCCTCTCAGGCGTGAGCCACCATGCCTCGCACTGGCCTGTATTAAATTCTTTGAATCATCCTAAATTCCTTCTTACCTTAAGGTTTTCATACATCGTCTTACCTTCACTTAGATAACTCTCACCCTATCCCCACCTCCCAGACTGACTTGTTAAGGTATCTCATGTGAGAAACCTGCAGTATTTTCAACCCTCACTCCTTGTTGCTTTGTGCAATGGTATATGTTTTCACAGAATATTTTATTTTACTTTCATATTCTTAGAAATATATACCTATGTATTGTTTATGTAATACGTATCTTCTTCAGAATGGAGGTTATTTGAAGAACCCCTATGTGTTTTGCTGTTATATTTGTAGTACTTAGTATTTACTTTAATCCATGGCATATAGTTGGTGCTTAATACATACTTATATCATGAAAGCCAGAACTCTGCTTCAGTGTGGGAATTGGAAGCCCCTTTCTTCCTGTTGCAGCCTCTAATGCCATTCCCCCTCTACCCTGTAGTTGGGACCAAGATGAAGGGTAAGTTTGTGATTATCTTTGGTTAGCAGGGTGGGGATATGGGCTACTACTTGTTTCTTCCTTTCCTTGGTATGTTCTCTGGAACAATGAGTACTAAAGTATGTCTACCAAAACACAGTTTTCTTTTATTCATTAAACAAATATTTGAGTACCTGCAATTGTTAAGGCAGTGTTACCTGTATCTCCTTGAGTTATATTTCTGCAGTGAAAGCTTGAGAAATCAAGTGACAAGCATGCAATCACTCATTAAAATGTAGTGGCCATCTCTCAGTTTCTGTTTCTCAGCTGAGTTCTGCAGGGTGCCACAAAAATGAAAAAAAAAACACTGTCTTGCCTCTGAAAGAACTTGTGATCTGGAGGGTGAGAGGGTAATGCACTTGCTTCCTCTCTGCTTGGCTTCTAAATGTTGAAGTGCTCAGAAACTTGGAGTTCTGTCCTTTTTTCTTTTCTCTCCACTGACCCTAGGTGTAGTTGCCATATATGTGAGATGACTTTCAAATTTACATCTCTGGATTCATATCTAGCATCTGACATCTTCATTTGAATATTGAATAGGTATTTCCAAAATGACATATCCAAAACATGATTGTCACCCTCTCAACCTGGGCCTCCTCTAGCCTTCCCCACCTCAGTAATTATTATCACCATTTACTCCATTGCTTATGTCCAGAAGGTTAGAGCCATCCATGATTCATTTCATTCCTTCCCATATTGAGTCCCTCAGCAAATCCTGTTGGTTCAATCTCCATATCCATAATTTCCTGCATGGATAATTGCAGTTGCCTCCTGTTGCTTTTCTTGCCTCCTTTTAGGCCTTCTGTAATTTATTAAGTATGCAACAGCCAGAATTAACTTTTCAAAAGTATAGGTCAGGTAATGTCATTACCCTGCTTAGAACCTTCCAGTGTTAATCAGTAAAATCCAATGACTTGGTCAGGTGTGGTGACTCATACCTGTAATCCCAGCACTTTGGGAGACTGAGGCAGGATCACTTGAGGCCAGGAGTTCAAAACCAGCCTGGCCAACATGGCAAAACCCTGTCTCTACTAAAAATACAAAAATCAGCTGGGCATGGTGGCAGGTGCCTGTAGTCCCAGCTACTCGGGAGGCTGAGGCAGGAGAATAGCTGGAACTCAGGAGGCGGAGACTGCAGTGAGCTGAGATCACACCACTGCACTCCAGCCTAGGTGACAGAGCAAGACTCCATCTTAAAAAAAAAAAAATCGAATGACTTATCGTGGCCTACAAAGCCCTGCATGATCTAAGCCTCAGCTAATTTCTCCAACCTCATGTCATTCCCCTCCCACCACCATCCTTCAGCCATACTGGCTTTACTTCTGTTCCTGAAACATGCTAAGATTATTTGTGTCTTAGGACTTTTGCACCGGCTATTCTCTTTAACTGAAGTTTTCTTTGCAGGTCTTTGCTTTGCTGCTTCTGCTTTTGCTGATTGTTAGGTCTTTCCCCACATGTTACCTTCTCAGAAAGGCCTTCTCTGACTGCCCTGTCTAAAGTAACTGCACATCACTGACACATGACAGTTTTACCTCTTCAGAGCATTCTCACTCTCTGGAGTAATTTTGTTGATTTATATGTATCGTTTATTACCACCCTTTCCCGATACCACTAACCATCACTGATAGAATGCATGTTCCATGAGAACAGGGCTCTTTGTCTTGTTCACATCTGTACAAGGCAGGTTAGTATAGTAGTTGATAGCATAAGCTCTGGAGTTATAATGTTTGAGTTTGTATTTTGACTCCACCACTTGCAGTATGATCTTAGACAAGTTTCTTAACCTCTCTGTGCCTCAGTTTCCTTATGTAAAATGAGGACACTTAGAATTCTTGAAGATTAAATGGAAAAACTTAGAAAAGTATTTAGAGTGATGTCTAGCATATAGGATAGCATATAGATTATTAACTTTATTGTCAGCACTGAGAAAAATGTCTGATGCATTGTGCCATTAAACATTCAATGAATGAATGAAATAACTGCTATTAATACTTGCCAGACTATTCCAGAGGTACAAAAATAATTCAGGGACTTAGTGGGGAAAATTATATTGAGTTCAAGGGGATCATGGTAGCATTTGTCAAGTAGATTGCATACAAACTGATCTGAATTATTGCTAATGTTGCATAGTGGAATAAGGGATTAGTACAAAGAAGGAGCTCCTAAGAATAAGTGTTCTAAGAGGGAGGAAATGGAATCTGCTAGGCCAGTTAAGGGCTGGGCCTTGAACTGGCACAGCATCACTTCTGCCAGTCTGTTGGTCAAAGCAGTCCCTGGTCCATTGCAGAATTGTCATGGGAGGGAAACTACACAAAGGTGTGGTTCATTGGGGAGCTCACCAGAGTAACACTGTACCACAGAGCGTTGGTACTAGATTTTAGAGGGCTTCTGATGACAGATCATGGAGTTTAGTCTCTCCACTCTAAAGGATAGGGAATGGCCAGGCGTGGTGGCTTGTGCCCATAATCCCAGCACTTTGGGATGCTGAGATGGGCTGATGGCTTGAGCTCAGGAGTTTGAGACCAGCCTGGGCAACATGGTGAAACCCCGTCTCCACAAAAATACAAAAATTAGCCTGGCATGGTGGCATGCGCCTGTGGTCCCAGCTACTTAGAAGGCTGAGGTGGGAGGATCGCTTGAGCCTGGGAGGTGGAGGCTGCAGTCAGCCATGATTGTGCCACTGCACTCCAGTGTGGGCATAGGGAGTGAGACCTGTCTCAAAAACACAACAAAAAAATCCACATAAAATCTCTGTTCTTGTGGAGTTTACATTCTTGGGTGAAGGAGTCGGGCAGGCAAATTATTGAGAAAATTTTCTCCTAGAGGAAGTGCACTTCCCTGAGATCTGAGGAAGCAGCAAGTGCAAATGTCGCAAGGCAGGAACAAGCCTGGCAGTTCCCTTCCCTGGCAGGATCTTGCTGTAGCTCAGTGGTACTTCAGAACCACCCAGAGGGCTTGTTGAAACACAGGTTGCTGGGCCCAACTCCAGAGTTTCTGAATCCATAGGTCTTGGGTGGAGCTCAAGAATTTGCATTTCTAACAAGTTTGTAGGTGATTCTTATGCTGCTTGTCCAGTGAGGAGATTTTGAGAACCACTGACCTGGATCTTGTCAGTGTTGGCTTCTTGACATTCTTATCTCCTTAAATATCATCTCTTCGCAAAGAACTTCCTTGAGCACCAGATCTAAAGTCCCACCAGGTTTCCTTTGTTCCAACGCTTCTGTTTTCCCCAAAGTATTTTTCCTTAGCTGACAAGACCAGACAGGTGAGTTTAGGAGTCTGACTGGACATGTGTATAGAGACAATAGTGGAATCTCAGAGATTAAGGTCTTTGAGGGTGAAGAATGAAGGGCTGAGAACTGAGCCTTTGCCATTGTAGGTGATAGTGTCTATTACATGCCTACTATGTGCTGAGCACTGGCCTAATAATTTTATAGTGTTATCTCATTTAACTTCTCATAATAATTCTAGAATGTAGGTACTATTGTTAGCCCGTTATATAGACAAGGAAACTCAAGCAAAGAGAGATTTATTAATTTGTCCAATATCGTTGCTAGTAAGTGGCAGAGGCAGGATTTGAACCCAGGAGGTGTAACTTCAGAGACCGTGCTATTAATCATAAGCTTTCAGGGAAAAATCCTTTTGGGAAGTTGAGGGTATAGGATTAAATAGAATTGGCAAATGAAGTCAGAAAGAGGTTTAATGATAGAATACTTTGAAGAAGGATGTTGGGTCTTTGGGATTTAACATTTATGCTGGGAGGTTATATTTTCCATTATTTAAAAAATTAGAATCATTTTCCCAGAGCATACTTTTGCCAAAAGTTTTTGCAGAAAACTTGGGGACATGGGCTTATACCAGACTGAATGGTTGCCGTAGGGTATGGGTAGTTCAGAGATTTTAACTGAAGCACCTCTCATATTCTAGACACTATTCTGGGGGCTTGGGATACATGAGAGAACAAAACCAAGATCCTGAGGTGAATGGGTTGAGACAGCTAATTAGAAAATGAACATAACTGTACATTATCTAGTATGTTGGGAGGTGATACCAGAAAAAGAAAAGCAGAATTAGGCAGAATGGGATGTGGATGGAGGAGGCGTTGCAGATTTACAAACAAAGTGGACTGGGCAGGCTCATTGAAATGATTGAACAATGACTTGGAAGTGCTAACTTTTGAAATGAGAAGAAAAAATGTTACCTTGGGAAACAGGGTGCTTCAGTAAGTTTTTTATTTGTTTGTTTGTTTGTTTGTTTGTTTGTGAGACAGTCTTGCTCTGTCGCCCAGGCTGGAGTACAGTGGCGCGATCTCAGCTTGCTGCAACTGCAGCCTCCACCCCTGGGATCAAGCAATTCTCCTGGCTCAGCCTCCCAAGTAGCCGAGATTACAGATGCCCACCACCACGCCCAGCTAATTTTTGTATTTTTAGTAGAGATAGTGTTTCACTGTGTTGGGCAGGCTGGTCTGGAACTCCTGACCTCAAGTGATCCACCCGCCTTGGCCTCCCATAGTGCTGGGATTACAGGCATGAACCACCACACCCAGCCCCAGTAAGTTTCTTTTGCCCCTAATTCAAATGAGACTACAAGTTTTGTAAAAAACTTATCTGTTCCTTGGGTTAACTTGCTTACAGGAAATCTTATTTCTTTGTTTAATGTTTATCCCTATTGCTGCTTCTGGTGTTTTAATTTCGGCTACATGCTGGGTGACTTTGTTACTAGGCTGCTACTAACACAGTTTCCTTACATTGACTCAGGCCAGTCTAGCCAGGGCTTTCCAGTCTAGGCCTTTCTGCAGTCAAGGCAATAGTAAGCATTTCTTTTTCTTTTTTTTTTTTTTTTGTAGGGGAACAGAGTCTTGCTATGTCACCCAGGCTGGAGTGCAGTGGTGCAATCTCAGCTCACTGCAACCTCCAACTCCCAGGTTCAAGCGATTCTCCTGCCTTGGCCTCCTGAGTAGCTGGGATTAAGGCATGCGCCACCCCATTCAGCTGATTTTTGTATTTTTAGTAGAGACGAGGTTTCACCATGCTGGCCAGGCTGGCCTCTAACTCCTGACCTTGTGATCCACCCACCTTGGCCTCTCAAAGTGCTGGGATTACAGGTGTGAGCCACTGCGCCCAGCCAGTAGTAAGCATTTCTTAATGTGCTAGCCGTGAATATGAATATGTGTATGGATGCTGTATAATATGAAGAGGTAAATGAGAGGATGTGGGCCTGGTTTCAGCATATCCACTCTTTTTTTTTTTTTTTTTTTTGCAGAACCATCTTCTCTTTTACCTTTGAGTGAAACACAGTTTTTTCACTGTTCCTAAAATGGTGTTAGGAATGCTCTTATCTAGGGTCTTTGTGCTTTTTCCTGTGCCAGGACCACTTTTCCCTGAGATAATCTGCGTGACTTCCTCATGTTGATCAGTGGCCTCTGCTAGTACCCTCAAAAGAATGGTATGCACCCCCATCACCATCAACCCTGCTTAAGGTTTCTTCATAACATTTATCAATCCTTGATATAAATACTTCTCTGTTCTTGTTTATTGTAGTCTCTGTCCTTTAGCTTGGGTGTTTTTTGACAGTAGAACTTCAGCTGTGTTTTCCCCCACTTGCCTGGCATATAATAACTGTTCAATGAATACTGATTTAATAAAGAATATGTTTAATGGGGGATATTCTACTTTTACTTGTCTAATATTTCAGAGTTTAAATTTGGCCTCTGTAAGTTAACAACTCTTTAGGGATCCTGACCGTGTAGCTTGTCCTATGTTGCTAGGCATGTAGGCATTTATGGGGTGTAACTAAACATAAAATAATGAAATTTTCATATGGCCTAATGCCATCATTCTCATTACTGTGTGATCACTGATCCTGTTTAAGTAACTTGAGACCAGATTTGTCTGACCCAGTGAAGCAAACACAAATATGTGGATAAGCTAAAATACTTTTGCTTGGATCTGCTTAAATTAGATGGCTTAACGTTTTAAAACATTTCTCAGGTTGAGCAAAACTGCAAGATGAACATTACTCTGGTAAAGCAGCTGGTACTATTCTCACTAAAACTTTAGACATTAAACTACTTCAAGTCAGAGTTTGATTTGGCCAGAGCCACAAGGGACTGGTGGAATGATGTCAAAGTAAAAGTGTGAACCCTTCGGAAGGATGGGAATTAAGTAGAACTGTGCCTATGCCAGAAACTCCAACTCCTCAAGAAACCCAAAACTTAGAGATGGTCTTTTGCTATTTGTTAATACCTTTGTATTACTTTTTTTTAAACAGCAAGTTTTTGACTCAAATCTGATCCTCTAACATGGTAATGATTAGAATTGTTTCTAAGACTCGTAAGTTGTGTTTTAATAAGGCATAGGAGTTGAAAGTTCCAAACTTGCTTTTAAAAGCTAATCTAGTATACCAGCTAATTAATCTTGATCTACTGGGCTGCCTTTTAAGAAGGTCATGTTAGCACCATCTTCATAGATATCAAGCATATTTCACAGTATGTCTACTATTTGCTCTTAACAGATATGCTTATTAGGGAAAATTTAAAAGATAGTAAACTTGTGTGTTATGACATTTGATTAATATGTTATAATTTTTTTTGGTGTGTAACTTGTTTCAAAATATATACTCCTCTAAAATTCATTATAATTTCTTCCTTTACATTAGCCTTTGTTGTGAATTAATAATGCAGAACAAGAATTAGCCACCTTAAAGTTGATTTTCTCTACTATAAAAAAGACTATTTTTTAGTTTTTTTTTTTTTTTTTTTTAAGTTAAAAAAATTTGGGCTGGGCATGGTGGCTCACACCTGTAATCCCAGCACTTTGGGAGGCTGAGGCGGGTGGATCACTTGAGGTCAGGTGTTCAAGACCAGCCTGATTAATATGGTGAAACCCTGTCTTTACTGAAAATACAAAATTAGCCAGGTGTGGTGGTGCATGCCTGTAATCCCAGCTACTTGGGAGGCTGAGGCAGGAGAATCGCTTGAACCTAGGAGGCAGAGGTTGCAGTGAGCCGAGATCGGCGCCACTGCACTCCAGCCAGGGCAACAAGAGCAAAACTCCGTTTTTTAAGAGACAGGGTCTTACTCTGTCATCCAGGCTAGAGTACAGTGGCTCTCTGTAACCTGAAGCTTCTGGGCTCAAGTGATCCTCCCACCTCAGCCTCCCAGGTAGCTAGGACTACAGGTATGTGCCACCATGCCTGGCTAAATTCGGGTATATTTTTGTTTTTGTTCATTGTAGAGATGGGGTCTTGCTATTTTCTCAGGGTGGTCTCAAACTTCTGGGCTCAAGTGACCCTCCTGCCTGACCCTCCCAAAGTGCTGGGATTATCAACATGAGCCACTGCGCCTGGCCAACAACAACACTTGTACAGAAAATTTCAAACCAAACAAATTTAGAGAGAAAAGTATAATGAACCCCTGAGTATCCATTACCCACCTTCAACAATTTTAGCACATGGTCAGTCTTCTTTCATGCATATCCCTACATTCTCTCCCAACTCCCATGTATCATTTCAAAGCAAATTTCAGGCTATGTATCTCTTTCAACCATAGTATGAAAGAGAACTCTGAAAGATAAAGACTTAAATTTTTTTGATATAACTACAATAGGTAGGATATTTTAAGGCAACCTATACATATTTCATTGGTTTTAGTACTTGAAGTCAATCTTCTAATAGTATAGTACAATTAAAATAGTATAAGTAGTATAGTACCGTTACAACAGGATAAAATACTACTGGTTTTATTATAAGTCTTTGGCTTACAAATTTGTGGACATTTCCTTAGGAAAACAGAAGCATCAAACTTTTTAAGCTTCTAGATGATTTCAGATGACTTTTCTAAAAGTTTGTAAGGAAAGAACAGCACATTGAGTATAAAATGAGTAATACAATTTTGGATTTTGATTCATCTGAACATATTCTTTTCTACCCTAAAATGTTATTAAATTCTTGTATTAAACCAAAGATATGAAAACATTTGTAATTCTAGTTCATATTCAGATGTGAATTGTGATAAATGTATTTTTGGACAGATTTCCTTTATCTAATGCCAGAAATAATAGACTATGTTAATAATAATACATAAAATTGTGTTGTAGTGAAAAATTGACTCTACGGTTTTCTCAAACAAGGGAGAAAATTTAATTTGGTAAATGAAAGACTAAGCCACAAACAAAAGGATACATTGAAAAAGCTGAAAAAAACATTTCGTAGCACCCATACATTTGAATCATGGAAATATGAACTGTGTTACATGTTGAGAAGTAACCAGCTATATGTTAGTTCATTTTTATTCATTCCTTTGTAGCCAAAATAAGAGATAACCATCCAGGGCCCATATAACCACTTTTGTCTGTCTCCTAAATAAACATGCCTGGTATTTACAGGTAGTTAGTACATGCAAACACAAAATAATTTGCTTTGATGGATGTATTTCTTTTAAAAGAAAAGCATAGGCTGGGCACGGTGGCTCATGCCTGTAGTCCCAGCACTTTGGGAGGCCAAGGCAGGCACAGATCCCTTGAGCCCAGTAGTATGAGACCAGCTTGGGCAACATAGGGAGACCCTCGTCTCTACAAAAAATACATAATTAGCTGAGCATGGTGGCATGCATCTGGAGTCTCAGCTACTCAGGTGGCTGAGGCAGGAGAATCATTTGAGCCCAGGAAGTCAAGGCTGCAGTGAGCCATGATCACCTCTCTTCTCCAGCCTGGGCAACAGAATGAGACACTTTCTCAAAAGAAAAGGAAAGCATTACAAAAAAAATACTGAAATATTGGAAATAAGGGGAAAACTTGGGACCAAAAAATCTTGTCTTTGTCCAGAAGAAAGATTGATAATGCAAATGATGACAAATAGAAAAAGAAGATGATGAAATGCAATTTTGGAGTTGTCCAATCCAGGCCTTGGTGGCTCTTGTTATCATGGATGTAGCCAAGCATATGCCATATCACCATCACATTTCATTATTTCCCTGTGAAACAGCAGACAGAAATTCTTAGCTGCCTTGACTTTGGCAGTATTTTTCTTGGGCATCAGTTACAAATGCCAACATCTGTCTCTTTTTGTTGTGAATACTCTTTGGAACTGATATATTGGTTTTTTAATATACTCTGCCACCCCACTAGATAGGAAATTCCATACTACTAATTTGACCTTTCTTAGTGAAAACAAACATCTTCTGTTTAACCAACTTGAGTGTATCATTTGTACAAAATAGGATTTTTGGTAAAGATCATTAATGATGTATATGGCCGAATAATATTTCATTGCATAGACATAGCACATTTTGTTTATCCGAACTCTTTTGATGGACATTTGGGTTGTTTCCACTTTTTGGTTATTGCAAATAATGCTGCTATGGACATTTGCATGTAACACTTTGTATGAACATGTTTCCGGTGTAAGTATCTGGGAGTGGAACTGTTGCAAATTTATGTTTAACATTTTGAGGAATTGCCAAATTTTTCTCCCCTAAAGTGGTTGTACCATTTTGTATTCCTATCAGAAATATATGGGCCAGGCACAGTGATTCACGCCTGTAATCCCAGCACTTTGGGAGTTTGAGACGGGCAGATCTCGTGAGGTCAG
This sequence comes from Homo sapiens, assembly GCF_000001405.40. Classification (NCBI taxonomy): domain Eukaryota; kingdom Metazoa; phylum Chordata; class Mammalia; order Primates; family Hominidae; genus Homo; species Homo sapiens. Next base: position 32,908,952 of record NC_000011.10, read on the forward strand.
AAGTTCAAGACCAACCTGGCCAACAGAGCGAAACCTCATCTCTACTAAAAATATAAAAATTAGCTGGGCGTGGTGGTACACGCCTATGGTCCCAACTACTTGGGAAGCTGAGGCAGGGGAATCGCTTGAACCCAGGAGGCGGAGGTTGAAGTGAGCTGAGATCGCGCCACTGCACTCCAGCCGGGCAACAGGGCAAGACTCCATCTCAAAAAATGAAAAGAAATATATGGATGTTCCAATTTCCCCATGTCTGTGCCACACTTGTGATTGTCTTTTTTATTATTGCTCATTCATTTCTTGAAAAGTTTAGCATGTTTGACTCATCTGCCTCTTCTACCTCTATTTTCTCTAAAATTGGGTTCAAGGAAGGGAAGTATCTTTTATCATCAACAGCTTTATCGATTTGATATTTTCACTGATTTTTTTTTAAACTAAAAGATGACGTGAGATTATTCAGCAGTTGGTAGCCAAGTTCATTAAACTCTAGATCATTTTTTTTTTTTTTGAGTCAGAGTTTCCTTCTTGTGGCCCAGGCTGGAGTGCAGTAGCACGATCTTGGCTCACTGCAACCTCCGCCTTCTGGGTTCAAGCAATTCTCCTGCCTCAGCCTCCCAAGTAGCTGGGACTACAGGCGCACACCACCATGCCTGGCCAGTTTTTTTGTATTTTTAGTAGAGACGAGGTTTTGCCACATTGGTCAGGCTGGTCTCAAACTCCTGACCTCAGGTGATCCACCCACCTTGGCCTCCCAAAGTGTTGGGATTACAGGCGTGAGCCACTGCGCCTGTCCTAAACTCTAGATCCTTTAACATTTATTTTAAAAGCAATTTCTCATGAAACTTGGAGCTACTTGGGAGTCGTGTGTATGGGGGGGGTGTGGTCATGACATTATAAGGTGTATTTTGATTTTAGGATTCCCTTGGTATCGATTTTAGTTCGGAAACTAAGGGAAGTTGTGTAGCAGGTAGCTATGTTTAAAAAAATGTAATTTAGACACTCCCATGCTTAAAAATCCTTTGGTTTTCCATTGCAGTTGGAATGAAATCCAGACTCATTGTGCCCACAAGGTTTTCCATGTCTGACCGTTAACTACTACCTTTCCACGATCTCCTACTGCTCACCCACTTCCCTTAGTACACTCACAATATGCTGGTCTTCTTTCAGCTTCTCTATGTTCCAGACTCTTCCCACTTCAGGCCTTTTCCTAACTGTTCTTTCTCTTCCTTTGGTTTGGGGCAGGGCTTGCTTAAGATCCCTTCTTCAGGAGGCATTGCTGATTACTGTGTCCTCTTTCTCCCATAATCTCTATATTTAGACTTTTTTCTTCTTTATTCATTTGATAGAGTTTATAATTGTTTTATTAGTTGGTTTCCTTTTATTTACCACCCTGTCTCACAACTAAACTGTAAGCTCTTCAAAGACTTATCCTTTTATTATATCCCCAGTGCCTTGCTCATTGCCTGGTACATAATATCTAATATTTGTTGAATAAATTAATTTACCCTGCTCTGCCATATATTTGTTTTATTCTATTTTGTAGAATTGGCTAGACACTTGTATGCGGTTTAATACCCCATAGTTAACAATAGGTCATGATGGCAGGAACTTTGTCATTGTGTATGCCTTTCACTCCTACCTTTTGCATGCATATACTCAGTAAAGACATAGAGACTTAAGTTGAAATTTTCCCTTGAAAATAATGTTGAGCATGTTGAAATGGATACCTTAGAAATGTTCTGCAGCTACACTGCCAATATAATGAGAATTTTTAAACAAAAACTTTAAGATCAAAGGTAAATAGAGTAAAAATCAAAATGGACATTTTAGATCTAGGCCATAAATTAGGATTTACAAGCACTTTCTTCTTCCTGTTCCATACCTTTTCCTACCTCCCTCATGCCACTGTTATAACTACTTTATTGTTCCAGTTGGCTTTTTCTGTTTTGGTCCTAGCCTTCTGGTCCACAGAACTTTGTAGCGCGAGGGGTTGTGGGAGGAGATAGTACAATGTAATAATTGTATAGGTAATGTATATGTAATATGTGTGTTATAGCTGTGCTTGATTTATTATTACTGTCTCCTCAAACGGTTTCTCTAGCTGTCTAATCTTACTGCAGCAGTTAGTCCTCCTTTCTTGAAACTTACAGTTCCTTTGATTTTTGGAGACATTCCTGGTTTTCCTCTTAAGTTTTTAGTTAAACTTTCTTATTCTTCCTTATGGTTTCCTCTTCCTCTACCTTTCCCTTAAATCTGCATCTCAGGTAATTGATTTTAAAAGTACCAAGTTATGACATGGACACAGAGAGGGGAACAACACACACCAGGGCCTCCTGGGGGTGGTGGGGGAAGACGGGAAGGAACTTAAGAGTATGGGTCAGTAGGTGCAGCAAACCACCATGGCATATGTATACCTGTGTAACAAACCTGTATGTTCTGCACATGTATCCCATTATTTTTTAGAAGAAATAAAAAAATAAAAAAGTACCAAGTTATGAATGATTACTCATTGTCTTTAAATAAGATAGAGTTGATCCCTATGATATGGTTTGGCTCTGTGTCCCCACCCATATCTTATCTCAAATTGTAATCCCCACATGTCAAGGGAGACCTTGATGTGGAAGGTAACTGGCTCATGGGGGTGGTTTCCACCATGCTGTTCTCACGATAGTAAAGGAGTTCTCGTGAGATCTGACAATTTAAAAGTGGCAGTTTCCCTTGCACTTGCTGTCTCTCCTGCCACCTTGTGAAGACATGCCTTGCTTCCCCTTCACCTTCTGCCATGATTGTAAGTTTCCTGAGGCCTCTCCAGCCATGCTGAACTGTAAGTCGATTAAACCTCTTTTCTTTTTAAGTTACCTAGTTTCACATCATTCTTTATAGCAGTGTGAAAATGGACTAATACACCCTATAATAGTATTGTTACTCATTTATTTCTGTGATATCTTAAGTGGAAGAGGGAAGAGTGGTACTTCAGTTGAGTTGCAAGGAATTTTGATTTGCAGATAAGTAACATCCTTGAGAAGCAGGAAATTAATGTATTTTGGTCATATGTGTAAAGCAGTGTCTCTATAATTTCTGCCCTTAGCCCACTTCTGATGTGACTCACTCTTGGACATTTTCATTTACTTCCATGACTTCAAAAAACACTCAATTTGTAACGATCCCCAATTTTTTATTTCCAGCTCAGATTTCTCTTCTGAGTCCTAAGTAGGAATATTCATTAGCCCTCTTTCAATTATTTCTCACAACATGTCTCTTTAACACCTCAAACTCAGTGCTTTCAAAATTGAAACCGTCCATGTTTGTTCAGCCTTATGGGTGGCTCACTGTCATTCATGATTCCTGTCTTCCCCGCAAGTCTTCTCAATTGTATTTTTTAAGAATTCCTAAGTATCTAGCTATTGCCACTGTTTTGCCCTCATAATTTCTTACCTGGATTTCTGCAGTAGGATCTTGGCCTTCTCTCTTTAAGGTTTGTTCTGTTCTGCACAGTATTTATCAGATTATCTAAGATAATGATTCTTTTGAACTTTTCAAAGTGAACTTATAGGGTCCCATGTCACATGTCAGAACTACTAATCAATAATTTCTGAAAGGGAGATCTGGATGTATATAGTTTGAAAAAACTAACCAGGCGATGCTGATGAGCATCGCCTGGTTACAGACCATTCTTTAGGCCAGGCAAAGTGGCTCACGCCTTTAATCCCAGCACATTAGGAGGTGGAGGTGGAAGAATCGCTTGAGTCCAGGAGTTCAAGACCAGCCTGGGCAATATAGGGAGACCTTGTCTCTATAAAAAGATATTTAAAAAACTGGCCAGACATGGTGTCGCACGTCTTTGGTCCCAGCTACTCAGAAGGCTGATGTGGGAGGATTGCTTGAGCCTGGAAGGTCACACCTAGGGTGAGTTATGATCACACCACTGCACTCCAGCCTGGGCAACAGAGCAAGTCCCTGTCTCAAAAAAGTATAAATTTAACTCTTACTAAAATTCTTGAGAGGCTCTTGATTCCCTTGAAGATAAAATGTGAGATCCTTATTTTGGTATATAATATTCCATAGTTTGGTTCCTGTCTACCTCATATCCCTGTTCTCCAATACAACCATGCTGAATTACTACAGTTCTAATGTGCCATCTTAGGGATATTTCTAGGTCTTCATATATGTGATTTTTATCTTCTTGGAACCTTCTTTTCTTTTGCTTTCCCTGGATAATTTCTCCTCTTCCTTTTTTTTTTTTTTTTTTTTTTTTTTTTTAAGATGGAGTCTTGCTTTGTCGCCCAGGCTGGAGTGCCGTGGCGCGATCTCGGCTCACTGCAAGCTCTGCCTCCTGGGTTCATGCCATTCTCCTGCCTCAGCCTCCCGAGTAGCTGGGACTACAGGTGCGCGCCACCATGCCCAGCTAATTTTTTGTATTTATTTTAGTAGAGACGAGGTTTCATCGTGTTAGCCAGGATGGTCTCGATCTCTTGACCTCATGATCCGCCCACCTTGGCCTCCCAAAGTGCTGGGATTACAGGTGCGAGCTACCGCACCCGGTCTTTCCTCGTCCTTTTAATACTCAGTTGTCATGTCCTAGAGGAAGTCTTCCCAGATTGTGTTATGTTTATTTACTTATGCTCTTTTATTTCTCTAGTTCCTAGCATAACACTTGGCAGTCAGTAAATGTCAGTTGTATAAATGCAGAACTTACCTTTAGGTGCAACAATAGTAGCATTGATTCAGCATTCATTATGCGCCAGTTGCTGGACTGTGCTAGTTGCTGCTGACCGTATGTGCTTTATTGTTTACTCTCACAACAACCTGATGAAGGTAGGTGTTACTATTACCCATATTTTACTGTTGAGGAAACGGAGACTTGGTTAAGTCTAACTAATTGTCTGTGTGGCTAGCCTCTAAGTCACAGAATTTATATAGAACTGGATTTGAATCCTGTGGCCTGTTTGCAGAGCTATGCTTTTATACAGCTGTTACACAGTTGTTTCAAAGTTCCCTCGTTTATTTTTTCAAATTCATGATAAATAATTTCTTAATAAGAGCTGATTATTCTTAGGCTACATGTTTTTGCTTTTAAATTATCAAACTGGATTAGCTAAAACAAAGATTTTAAAATATTTGGCATTTAGGTATGAATGGGATAGGTATATGCTAGAGTTCCACACAGATTTAATTCAGTGGACTTAGTGTTTATTTCTATTCGGATTTTATACCAAAGAATACTGTGTGCTAAATAAAGTAAAAATATTTATCTTAACTGAGAATATTAGAACTACAAAGAACATTAGGCTTTATAAGTAGGAAAACAAGTATTCTACAAGATTATGTACTTTGCTCAAAGTCTTGTAGCATTTATTTGCAGAATCAGGACTGGAATTTGGGGCTCCTAACTTCCAATCCAGAATGTTTATCTTTCTCAACTATGAAAAGCTGATATACCTAAAACTGTAACAATATTTTCAAAGCTTAAAGAGAATTCTATTTTTATTATATTCTAGGTATTTGTGACCAAATTATTTAACACAAAAAGAACAAAGTGATATGACTACTTAAGGCAAAATCATTTATTCAGTGCTTAAGTAACTTATTACTTGTGTGCAAGTACTGGCTTGTTTTCTCAGATTTAACATATTTCGTGAAACATTTGCTAATTGATTTTTAAACCTGGAATGTGTTTTATTTCTTAAGCATCATAAACATAAGAGTAGGCTACCCAAGGAGTAGGTTTATATGTTATTAATATCTGGGTATAAACCATAAGAGCATATATTTAAAAGCATTTTATCTTACAGTCATATACCATCTTCACTGCATGAGTGGACATTTTAGATGAATTTTTTGCCTCAGCTATATCTGCTTTAGAAATTAATTTTCTTTGTTATAGTGAAGTTGACTAAAAAATGGTCACACTTAAACAGTGTAGAGAGTGGTAATCTGATAACTAATCTTTGTTGGTTTGTTTCAATTTTTGTTGTTGTTGTTTTTTGTTTTGAGACAGTCTTGCTCTGTTCCCCAAGCTGAAGTGTAGCGGCCTGATCATGGCTCACTGTAGCCTTGACCTGCTGGGCTCAAGCCATCCTCCCACCTTAGCCCCCCTGAGTAGCTTGGACTACAGGTGCCACTATGCCCAGCTAATTATTTTTTGTAGAGAGTCTCACTGTGTTGCCCAGGCTGATCTTGAATTACTGGACTCAAACAATCCTCCAGCCTTGGCCTCCCAAAGTGCTGGGATTATGGGTGTGAGCCACTGCACCTGGCCTGTTTTGGTTATTTGAGAAAATTATAATTTTTTTTTAAAATGTGACAGTGACGGAAAGAAGATGATACTTCCCTTTGCAAAATTCTAACCTTCCTTGTCCTCAATTTCATACCTTACTCATGAGTGTGGGGAGGAGATAGAAGATTTGTTTTATGCTAGGGCTGGGAATATGAAGATTGAGACTTGGTTCATTCTCCTCTAGGATTTAGCTGAGGTAATACTTGGAGTTTGTAAGGTGATGGTAAAAGTTTACTATTCTCTCCCTACCACGACTACCCAGGGCTTGGGGATTAAGAAGGGCTATGCTGGGCCACAGTAGGTCCTATCTTACATAAATGTACCTATATTCAAAGACGAGTCTATACTGGTCCAAACGTGGAATTACAAATCAAGACCATGTTTTGAGGCATGCTTTTTCCTTTTAGGATTATAAAAAAGAAATTCTGGCTTTTGATTAAAAAATAAACAATCTCAACAGACCAGTACTATCAGATTATTATTGCTAAGATTAATACCTTCTGAAATTGATTTTAAAACCATAAAGCACAGATTTTTAAAAAACATTATTATATGGTATATGGAGATGGGCCAACCATAAAAGATTGAATACATGCATGACAGCAAGGCTTATCTAGAAACCACCTTCTTTTGGTAGTGTTGCGTAGTTCATGAAAAATTAAAAATGATCACTAAGGTTGGATGAATATAATTTTGTTTTTTTTTTTTTGAGATGGAGTTTCACTCTTGTTGCCTAGGCTGGAGTGCAATGGTGTGATCTCCAACTCCTGGGTTCAAGCAGTTCTCCTGCCTCAGCCTCCCGAGTAGCTGGGATTACAGGCATGCGCCACCACACCCGGCTAATTTTGTATTTTGAGTAGAGACAGGGTTTCTCTATGTTGGTCAGGCTGGTCTCCAACTCCCGACCTCAGGTGATCCGCCTGCCTCGGCCTCCCAAAATGCTGGGATTACGGGCATGAGCCACCGCGCTCGGCTGGATGAATATAATTTTTATTGATACAATTTACATGGATGAGTGACCATTTTAAATCGTACAATTCAATAATTTTTAGAATACTCACAAGGTTGTACAACCATCACCATTATCTAATTTCTAGAGCATTTTCATTACCTAATAAAGAACCACATACCCAGTAGCAGTCTTTTCCTAGTTTCCCCTCTCCCCAGACCCTAGCAAATGCAGTAATCTGTCTCCATGGATTTGCTTGTTTGGGACATTTCATATATAGCCATGCATCACCTGACAAAAGGGGTATGTTCAGAGAAATGTGTCGTTAGGTAATTATATCACTGTGCAAACATCTTAGGGTATACTTACACAAACCTAGATGGTGTAGACTGTACACACCTAGGCTATATGGTATGATCTGTCAATCCTAGGCTACAAACCTGTACAGGATCTTACTGCCCTGAATACTCTAGGCAGTTGTAACACAATGGTAAGTATTGGTGTATCTAAACACCCCTAAACATGGAAAAGGTACAGTAAAAATAAGGTATTGTAAGTTGTACATGTGGTCTGTTGATTGAAACATTGTTATGTTGGGCATGACTCTATTTTTTTTTTTTTTGAGATGGAGTCTCAGAGTCTCGCTCTGTTGCCCAGGCTGGAGTGCAGTGGCGTGATCTCAGCTCACTGCAACCTCCACCTCCCGGGTTCAAGCGATTCTCCTGCCTCAGCCTCCTGAGTAGCTGGGACTACAGATGCATGCCACCACACCCAGCTAATTTTTGTATTTTTAGTAGAGACGGGGTTTTGCCATGCTGGCCAGGCTGGTCTCGAACTCCTGACCTCAGGTGATCCACCCACCTCGGCCTCCCGCAGTGCTGGGATTACAGGTGTGAGCCACCACGCCCGGCCGGGCATGACTCTAAATGGAATTATATGTGGTCTTTTGTGTTTGGCTTCTTTCATTTAGCATAGTACTTCCAGATTCCTCCAGGTTGTAGCATGTATCAGTATTTTGTGCCTCTTCGTGGGTGAATAGTATTCCTTTGTTTGACTACATCACGTTTTGTTTATTCATTTATTAGTTTTTGCACATTTGGATTGTTTCCACCTTTTGACTATTATGAATAATGTTGCTATGAACATTTATGTACAAGTTTTTGTGTGAACATGTTTCCATTCTCATGGGTATATGGGAGTAGAGTTGCTGGGCCATGTGGTAATGATGTTTAACTTTTTGAGGGAGGCATGAGATTTTATTAATATTTTCTTAATTCAGTTAACTACTGTTGCTTTATTCACAGCTAACTTAATGTCAAATGTAATCTTTATCCCATTGAACACAAGATACTAAAAAACCCTATTTTATGGCCAGGTGTGGTGGCTCATGTCTGTAATCCCAGCACTTTGGGAGGCCGAGGTGGGCGGATCACTTGAGATCAGGAGTTCAAGACCAGCCTAGCCAACATGGTGAAACCCCATCTCCACTAAAAATACAAAAACTAACTGGGCGTGGTGGCACCGGCCTATAGTCCCAGCTACTTGGGAGAGGCAGGAGAATCGCTTGAACCTCAGAGGCAGAGGTTGCAGTGAGCTGAGATCGTGCCATTGCACTCCAGCCTGGGTGACAATGTGAGACTCTGTCTCAAAAAAAAAAAAAAAAAAAAAAACCAGCATTTCTCTGTATTGCTTTCTGTGACTTATGATGTGGAGCTCTCTTGTTTTGTGCTTCAGTAATTAATATCATTAGATGGTAGCTCAAGTAGGTTTTGGCCTTATATGAAATCCTGATATAATGCCTAAAATTAATAATATTAAGTCTCAGATAATTCAGTTTTTAATTAGCATGGAGTGACCTACTGGCTTAATCTTTCATTTTTGAATCCCTAGTCCTTAACAGGATGCCTGCCCAGTCAAGTAGGCACTCAGTAGAAGTTTGAGAGATTATTGAGCTCTAACTTGAAGCTGATTTCTCTTCCGAAACTGTACATGGGTTGTAATTATTTATGACTACCTGCTGTGTACCACATACTATTCTGGGTGCTTGGGATGTACCAGTGAATAAAGCAAAGGCCCTGTCCTTAAGGAGTTTACCTTTCAGTGCATACTGGGCAAACTAGCATACTATATATAGTAAATACATATAGTATGTTGAGTGTTTATTAATGCATGGAGAAAAATAAAGAGGGTTAGGGCATGTGGAGAGAGAGGACAGAGTAAGGATGTTGTTTTTTATGGGGTGGTCAGGGAAATCTTGAGAGGTGAAATTTAAGCAGAGACCTAAGGGGAAATGAGGAGTGAGTTTGAGGGATGAGGCAAGAGACCTGTCTGGCTGGGAGTAAAAAATAGGAGCTAAAATCAGAGGTGTAAGGGAGCAGCAACTAGATCATGTAGTGCCTTGAGAACTTTGTAAGAAGTTGTGGCTCTTGTGAGGTGGGAAGCCGTTGGAAAGTTTTTCATGATTTGATTTTACCTTTTTAAGAGAATGACTCAGGCTGAGGATGAGGGGAAGGAGGGGCAAGAGCAGAGGCAAGGAAACCAGTTAGGTATAATAATTCCTTGTCTGTTCAAGAAGTGATTGGAGTTAGCAAAGATTTATAAGGAACACCCTCTTCCCCCCAAAAACCCCTGATATTTATAAATTAGATCAATAATTATTCTAACGCTTAGGAAGTTGTGTTTAGATTTAGCATGGCTTACATTTTTTTAAATGTAGACTTCATTTTTGGGAACTGTTTTAGATTTACAGAAAAATCAGGAACATAGTATAGAGTTCCCATACACCCCCCACCTAGTTTTCCCTATTATTACCATCTTGCATTGGTATGGGACATTTGTTACAGTTAATGAACCAATATTAATACAGTATTATTAACTAAAGCCTATAGTTTATGCAGATTTCCATAGATTTACTTAATGTCTTTTTCTGTCTCCTCTTATCTGTGACAGTTTTTCCAGCTTAGTTTGTTGTTTTTGTTGTTGCGGTTTTGTTTTTTAGAGACAGAGTCTTGCTCTGTCATCCAGGCTAGAGTTCAGTGGCATGATCACCTACGAACTCCTGGGCCGAAATGTGTAGCTGGAAACTACAGGCAAGCACCACTAGGCCTGGCAAATTTTTAAAAGTTTTTTAGAGACTGAGTATTGCTATGTTGCTCAGTCTGGTATCAAGCACTTCTCTGGCCTCAACCTCTTATTACTTTGCTTTTGATAACCTTCACAGTTTTCAGAAGTACTGGGCAAGTATTTTGTAGGATACCCCTCTTTTGGAATTTGCCTAATGTTTTTTCTTTTCATGTTTAGACCGGTGTTACTGGTTTTGAGGAGGGAGACCACAGGGGCAAAGTGTCACTTTCATCACATCCTGTCAGTGGTACATACTATCAACGTGATTTATCACTACTGATAAAGCCTTTATCACCTGGTCGATTCTTGTCAGGTTTCTACACTGTAAAGTTACTCTTTTTTTCCTCCTTTCAATACTATACTCTTTGGAAAGGCGTCACTGTGTGCAGTCCACACCTGAGTGGGGAGTTATGGTCTCCCTCCTTCAGGGTAGAGAATCTACATAAATTAATTGGGAATTCTTCAAGGGGAATTTGTCTCTTCCTCTCTATTTATTCAATCGTTTATCAGTATGGACCCATGGATATATATTTTATACTTCGGGTTACAAGCCAGTACTATTTTGTTGCTCAAAATGTTCCTGCTTTGGTCATTGGGAACTCTTTTCAAATAGCTTGTGTGTTCCTTTGACATAAATGTCTTTTCTTTTTTTCTCCCTCCCTTTCTGCCCCCTTTCTTTTTAGCACTTTCTTACTTTCTGGCACTACAAGATACTCTAGACTCATCTTGTATATTTCCTGCCCCAGTACTAGAATCAGCCATTTCTCCAAGGAGCCTTGGTTCCTTTTTCTTGGAGAATGGTACGAGAAACCAATCTGGGCACTAGGTATGTTCTTTGCTGCTGGAGTGTCATTGCTTCTGGGCTCTGTCCGCCAGAGTAAGGAAATACACATGTAGCTTGTTTTAATATAGAGAATGATTGCTATGATCATTTTAAAAGCATATAAAATCGTAAGAGTATTTTGAAAATAGCAGTTGGGCATTTGGGTTTTTGTATTAAGGGATTTCTACATTATACTTTGAGTAGCAAAAGAATGAAACTGGACTCCTACCTCACACCATATAAAATAATTAATTTGAAATGGATCTGTCATCCTAAATGTAAAAGCTAAAACTAAAAAACTCTTAGAGAAAACATGGGCATAAATCTTCATGACCTTGGATTACAAGTTATTTCTTAGATATGCTATCAAAAGCATGAGTGTGACAAAGGAAAAAATAAATTGGACTTCAAAATAAAAAATTTTTGTGCTGTACATGATACCATCAGAAAGTGAAAAGATAACCACTGAATGGAAAACAATGTTAAAAATCAGATTTATCGGGGATTTGTATCCAGCATATTTAAAGAACTCTTATACTTTAATAATAAAAAGATAACCCAGTTAAAATATGAGCAAAGCATGTGAGTAGACACTTGTCCAAAGAAGATGCAAGTGGTCAGTAAGCACATGCAGAGATGCTGTACATTATTAGTCATAATGAGGTAAATGCAAATCAGAACCACTCCACACCTGTTAGGATGTCTACTATAGATGAGAAATACAGATAATAAATATTAGTGAGAATGTTGAGAAATTATAACTTATACTTTGCTGGTGGGAATGTAAAATGGTACAGCCACTTTGGAAAACAGTTTGGCCATTTCTCAAAATGTTAAACATGGAGTTTTCATTTGACCCAGCAATTTCACTCCTGGATATATATACCCAAGAGAAATTAAAACATACATCTATACAAAAACTTGTACATGAATGTTCATAGCATCGTTATGATAGCCCAAAAGTAGAAACAACCCAAATGTCCATCAGCTGATGAATGGATAAACAAAATGTGGTATATCCATACAATGGAATATTCAGCCCTAAAAAGGAATGAGGTACTGATATATCCATGTTGTAATAAGGTGAACCTTGAAAACATATTTAGTGAAAGAAGCCAGTCATAAAAGGCCACAGGTAGTATGATTCAGTTTTTATGAGTTATTTTGAATAGGCAAATCCATAGAGACAGAAGGTAGATCAGTGATTGCCAGGGGCAGAAGAGAGGAGGGAAATAGGACCAGTTGCTCATGGATACACGTTTATTTGGGGGGGATGATCAAAATATTCTAAAATTAGATTGTGGTGACAGTTGGACAAGTCTGAATATTCTAAAAACCACTGATTAGCATACTTTAAAAGGGTGACCTTTATGGTATGAAAGTTGTATTCCAAATTTGTTTTTTTACAAAATCATTTAGAACAGAATAGCAAAAGACACTTAGGGATAAATTTAACAAAATACATGTAAGAATTATACACTAAACACTACAAAAGATTGTTGAGAGAAATTAAAGACCAGAAACAGCTGTACCATATTCATGGCTTAAAAGATTCAGTACTTTTAAGATGGTATAGTTTTTCCCAAATTGATGTTTAGATTCAATACAGTTTTTTTGTTGTCATAGAAATTGACAAGCTAACTCAAATGTATGTGGAACTACCTAGCACAGCAAAACAATTTTGGAAAAAGAACAAATTTGGAAGATTTGTGTTATTGAATTGAAGACACTATAAACACAGTTGTATAAAAATATAGTTATTTGTGGATTGATTTATATGAACAGACATTGGTCAGTGTAACACTATAGTCAAGAAATAGAAACCCATATATATGGTTTATTGGTTTTTGACAGAGGTGCCAAGACAATTCAATAGGTAAAGAATAATCTTTTCAATATATAGTGCTGGAACCATCGCACATTGAAATTTTAAAAATGAGTATCAACCTTTTACACCACGTATAAAAAATTAACTCCAAATGGATTATAGCCCTAAATGGAAAAGTTAATACTATAAAACTTCCAGAAGAAAACAGAAAATCTTTGAGATCTTAAATTAGGCAAAGATTTCTTAGGTACACCACCAAAAGTACAATAGATAAATTAAAAACTGATCAAAATTAAGAGCTTTTGCCCTTCTAAAGATACTGTTGCAAGAATGAAAGCCACCGGGTGGGAGAAAATATTTGCAAAACATAACTGGCCAAGAACTTGCTCCAGAATATATAAGCAACTCTCTAAACTCAGTAATAGAAAACAACCCAATAAAAATGGGCAGAATATTTCAGTAGTACTTTTACTAAAGATTTCTACATGGCAGATGGTGAGATACTTATTGTACATCAATTAGAATGGCTAATTTTTTTTTTTTTTTTTTTTTTTGAGCCAGAGTCTCACTCTGTCACCCAGGCTGGAGTGCAGTGGTGTGATCTCGGCTCATTGCAACCTCCGCCTCCCAGGTTCAATTGGTTTTCATGCCTCAGCCTCCCGAGTAGCTAGAATTACAGACCTGTGCCACCATGCCTGGCTAATTTTTGTATTTTTAGTAGAGATGGGGTTTTGCCATGTTGGCCAGGCTGGTCTTGAACTCCTGACTTCAAGCGATCCACCCACCTCAGCCTCACAAAGTGCTGGGATTATAGGCGTGAGCCACCATGCCCGGCCTATTTTTTTTTTTAAGTAACAACTTACAAACTAACAATACCTAGGGCCCATATGGATGCAGAGTTACTAGACATACATTATTGGTGGGAATGTAAAATGTTATAGCCACTCTGGAAAACATGCAGTTTATCTGAGTTAAAGATACATTACTGTATAACTCAGCCATCTCTCTACTCAAGTGAAATTAAAACTTATGTTCACACAAAAACTTATGCACATGTGTATAGCAGCTATATTCATGATTGCCCCAGATGTCTCTCAACTGGTGAGAAGGTTTTAAAAAACAAACCAACCTGTGGTACAACCATGCAATGGAATACTGCTCAGCAATAAAAAGGAATGAATCACTGATAGAAATAACAACATAGATGAATCTCAGAGGTGTTACACTAAGTGAAAAGCCAGACACAAAGACTACATATTAAATGATTCCATCTATATGACATTTTGGAAAAGGCAAAATCACAGAAGCAGAAAACAGATCTGGGGACTTGGTGGTAGGATGGGTTCACTGCAGAGAGGCAGGGGGAATCTTTGTGGTGATGGAAGTGTTCTCTCCCTTGGTTTCTGTGGTTTGTTTATGCAGGTATGAAAACACACACTAGAGGGCTGGGCACAGTGGCTCACGCCTGTAATCCCAGCACTTTGGGAGGCCGAAGTGGGCAGATCACCTGAGGTCAGGAGTTTAAGACCAGCCTGACCAACATGGCAAAACCCCGTCTCTACTAAAAATACAAAAAAAAATTAGCCTGGCGCAGTGGTGCACGCCTGTAATCCCAGCTACTCAGGAGGCTGAGGCAGGAGAATTGCTTGAACCTAGGAGGTGGAGGTTGTGGTGAGCCGAGATCACACCACTACACTCCAGCCTGGGCAACAGAGTGAGACTCTTGTCTCAAAAAAAAAGGCCGGGCACGGTGGCTCACACCTGTAATCCCAGCACTTTGGGAGGCCAAGGCGGGTGGATCACGAGATCAGAAGATCAAGACCATCCCGGCCAACATGGTGAAACCCCATCTCTACTAAAATATAAAAAATTAGCCGGGTGTGATGGCGGGTGCCTGTAGTCCCAGCTACTCAGGAGGCTGAGGCAGGGGAATCGCTTGAACCCGGAAAGTGGAGGTTGCAGTGAACTGAGATCGCACCACTGCACTCCAGCCTGGCGACAGAGCAAGACTCCATCTCATTTAAAAAAGCCCTAGAAAAGGTGAATTCTACCTATGCAAATTATACCTAATTTTTAAAAAGCGAAAATGTGAAAAATTTGAACCTTGAACTTTACCTCATACCATACACACAAAAAGATCTCAAAATGAGTCACAGACCTAAACATATAAGCAAAAACATTAAAACTTACAAAATAAAACAATAGGAGAATGTATTAGTGACTTTGGGTTGGTGAAGATTTCTTAGGACACCAAAAGCACAAACTATAAAACAAAAAATCTTGATAATTCACACTGAGCAAAAATTAAAACCTCATTATTTAAAGACAGTGGAGGCCAGGTGTGGTGGCTCACACCTGTAATCCTAGCACTTTGGGAGTCCAAAGTGGGTAGATTGCTTGTTTGAGTCCAGGAGTTCCAGACCAGCCTGGGCAACATGGACAAGCTTTGTCTCTACAAAAAGTTAGCTGGTGGTGGTGGTGCACGCCTATGGTCCCAGCTACTCGAGAGACTGAGGTGAGAGAATCACCTGAGCCCGGGAAGTGGAGGCTGTAGTGAGCCGTGATCATGCCACTGCAATTGAGGTTGGGTGACCGGAGTGAGACCCTGTCTCAAAAAAAAAAAAAAAAAAAGGAATAAATAAAGACACTGGAAAATGAAAGAGAATGAAAAGGCAAGCCAATAGACTGGGAGAAAATACTCCCAATACATATATTTGAGAATGAATTTTGATCCAGGGTATGTAAAGAATTCTTAAAACCCAATAAGAAGGGAAACAACCCAGGTTTGGTTTTATTTTCAGCTTTTATTTTAGATTCAGGGGGTACATGTGCAGGTTTGTTACAGCATGATGCTGAAGTTTGGAATACAAATGATCCTGTCACCTGGGTACTGAGCATAGTAGCTGACAGTTTGTTTTCCAGTCCTTACCCCCTTCTTCCCTCCTCTAGTAGCCCCCAGTTTCTATTATTGCCATCTTTATTTCCAAGTACGCAATGTTTAGCTCCCACTTATTAATGAGAACATGTGGTATTTGGTTTTCTGTGCCTGCATTAATTTGATTAGGATTATAGCCTCCAGCAGCATCCATATTGCTGCAAAGGACATGATTTTGTTCTTTTTAATGGTTGTGTGGTATTCTAAGATGTTTGTGTACCACATTTTCTTTATCCAGTCAACCGTTGATGGGCACGTGTGGGTTGACTCCATGTCTTTGCTATTGTGAATAATGTTGCAATGAACATGCAAGTCAATGTCTTTTTGGTAGAATGACTTGTTTCCTTTTGGATGTATACCCAGTAATGAAATTGATGACAACCTAGATCTTTTAAAAGGGCTAAAGATTTGAATAAACTTCACTAGAGAAGCTAAAAGAATAGCCTTACAAACATACAGAAAAATGCACCTCCTCGTATGTTATCAGAGAAATGCAAATTAAGCCCAGTGATACTCCACTGAACCCACCTAGAATGGCTAAAATTAAGAAGACTGAAAAGATCAAGTATTGACAAAGATGCAAAACTACTGGAATGTTGATACATCGCTTTTTTATTTATTTATTTATTTATTTATTTATTTATTTATTTATTTATTTTTTGCAGACAGAGTCTTGTTCTGTCACCCAGGCTGGAGTGCAATGGTGCAATCTCAGCTCACTGCAACGTCTGCCTCCTGGGTTCAAGTGATTCTCGTGCCTCAACCTCCAGAGTAGCTGAAATTCGAGACCTATGCCACCACGCCCAGCTAATTTTTGTATTTTTAGTAGAGATGGGGTTTTGCCATGTTGGCCAGGCTGATCTCAAACTCCTGACCTCAAGTGATCCGCCTGCCTCATCCTCCCAAAGTACTGGGATTACAGGCATGAGCCACCACAACAGGCTGTGTTGCAGACATTAATAAGGATACATTACCTTAACGACTTCAAGCTCAGAATCGTCAGTAATGAGACAAACTGACACTGTGTGCCTCCTCATGTGATGCAATAAGAAGTACACAACAGGTCAGGTGTGGTGGCTCATGTCTGTAGTCCCAGCTACTTGGGAGGCTGAGGCAGGAGGATTGCTTGAGCCCAGGAGTTGGAGGCTACAATAAGCTATGATCCAGCTGCTGCACTCTAGCTTGGGTGACAGAGACCCTGTCTTCTTAAGACAAATCCAGAATTTGGGACATCTTATAATTTAGTTGCCCTGGATTCTTCAAAAGGTCAAGGGATTTGGGATTAGGGGTTGGGTGAAGGCACTGATACTAAGTTAGAGAAATAACCAAATGAAATTACTGAATTTTGATTGGATCCTAGTTAAAAAGAGCTTAAAACTTTTAGATGTTTGGCAATAATTGGGGAAACTGGAATATGACCTATATATTACATGATTATTGAATTAATGCTAAATGTGTTTAAGTCTGATAATGATATCTGGTTATATAAGAATGTCCTTATTCCTATGAGATGCAACTGATGATATCTCCAAGTTATTTTCAAGTTGTTTAGCAAAAAAAAGAAAAGTGGGTATGTGTGTATAGAGGAAAATAAATGTTACAAAATCTTAATAGTTGTTGAATCTTAAGGGACAGGTATATGGTGTTCATTGTATTTTTGATTTCTTTCTATGGGTTTAAAATATTCAAAATAAAAACATAACCTTTCCTTTCCAAGAAGAGGGGGAAAAATCTTGTTTTGGGCTACTCTGAAAATGTTTGAGCTTGAAGTTTTCTCAGTGAGTTATTGGGAAATAGTATTAATTATTTATTTGAATTATCTGTTATTCCATAGAATACTATAATTAGAGAGGTTATGGAGGTTATTTCATCTGGTCCTTTTTTTATACAGATGAAATTAGTCCAACAATAATTGAGTCCCTTATTTAAATTACACTGTAAGCCAGAAGTAGAGCCTGTACAATGAATTCACCTCTCTGTTGTCCAGGATATTACTTTTTCTTCTGTACCACATTACCTCTCCCAGTAAAAAGACTCTTGTTTGAGGTAGAATTGAATTAAAGAAAATACTGTGTATTATTTTTCTTACTAATGCATCTTAAATATATTTCCTCCATTGTGATAGTATTGTCAGACTGTGTTTGATCCACGAATCTATAGGTCAGGAAATTGGTCAAAGGTTTCTACTACTTTTATAGTTGTTCTTCTAGAAGTTTTTTTTATCAGATGGTTTGGACTGTGTATTTTGGTCACTGATTTTTAATGTCCTCTAGTTTAAGCTATGAAGAAGGACATCCCTCACACTCTGAAACAGATCTCCTTCAGAGACAGAGTTTTGCAGCCTCTCATCAGCTTCCTGGATATGCTCCCACACCTCAGCCTACTGGTAACAATTCTCTTGTGAATTATACTACGAGTCTGGGTACATTTAGTGAATAAGAAGAAAAACCAATTTTCATGTGTTGAGTTCTGAATGTATAGGACATACTCATGCCATGGGAAATGAAATGAGAGTAAAAGCTTGTTTTTTGTTTTTATTTTTGACATGGAGTCTCGCTCTGTCGGCCAGGCTGGAGTGCAGTGGCGTGATCTTGGCTGACTGCAACCTCCACCTCCCGGGTTCAAGTGATTCTCCTGCTTCAGCCTCCCGAGTAGCTGGGACTACAGGCACCTGCCACCATGCCCGGTTAATTTTTGTATTTTTTAGTAGAGGCGGGGTTTCACCATATTGGCCAGGCTGGTCTCAAACTCCTGACCTTGTGATCCTTCCACCTCGGCCTCCAGAAGTGCTGGGATTACAGGCATGAGCCGCCACGCCCGACCAAAGCTTTGGTTTTTACCAACGGAATATTTATATAATTAATAAATTAAAAGATCTTCTTTCATGCATCTTTGGAGATTTTAAATTATAAATATGCTTGGTCAAATTAATATGTTTACTATCAAAATAAAACCATCTGGGGTTGTAGAATGTTTTGGCCTTAATTTTCAGAAATTTTAAAATAGAGTCAGGAATATAATTTATACAAGTAAATTTTTTTTTTTTTACTTTGGGATATATTTTATCTTCAAATTTAGGTCTTTCTGGAATATTTGATACTAGTGTGAACAGTGCCAGCAGTAACACTAAAGAGTCTTCAGTGATGAATTTTCTGTCTACTGCTGAATCCCGAACTGCTCAGGCTGCTGCTTCAGGAACTACTCTCTTACCACAATTCAGGGCTCCATCCTGGCAGACAGGTGATTTTCTGTTTCTAGAATTTTTAAGTCCTATAAAAATGCTGATGAAACATATACATTTGATGGCCTTGTCATTGTGGCTGGGAGTTTTGTTACAATATTGATTTTCCACTGAACTTTAAGACCTGGAATTTTTCAAAATTTTCAGGTGGATAAAATTCAAGAATTTATTACTGGCAGAAATTTAGTTTTAGCATTCTGACAAAAACTAGTAAGTTGACATTGAGGGGTAGATAATGATTAAAGAAGGTCTCATATAAGGTTTATATCTAGCAATTACTTGTCTACTTGAAAGAAGCAAAGATTAAAATTTATTTTAGTGACTTCAGAATGGGTAGGTGTTATAGTAAAAAAAATCTTGGGACTCATTTCATTGTTAGTTTTATATAAAGTTATCCTTAATTGGATAGATTAAATCACTAATAAGAGACATTACAAGTTGATATTATGATGTGCCCATTTTCCAGCAATAATTACAAGGTCTATAATGTGCTTTTCTATTTCATTTTTCTTATTTTACTTTTCAACCGTTTCTCATCAGAAATTATATCTATATATTTCTGTTTTTTGTAGTATGACAGGAATTTTTTTTGGAGTTTTGTCTTAAGAAATGTCATAGTTTATTTGAGAATATGTTTTTAAAGGATAGGTATAGGAAATAGTATTTTAACATTCTGATGTAAATTCCACTAATAGAAGTTTCTCAGTTTGCCTTAGCAACATTTTTTTTCCTGCTTCTAAGGGGATAATCAATGATTTGGTGAAATAAAATAATATTTTAAAACATAGCTTTATTTTTTACTTCCTGAAATAATTATATATTTCATGTATTTAGTTAGATTTTCCTATCAGTATATTCATGCTGAAACTTGAGAGTTGAAGAAGTTTTAAAATAAAACAAAAGAAAATCTGTTAATATTTCTGTGAAGTGTTTTTACTCTTGTATAGTTTGTTTTTAAAGTTTTTGTGGTTTTTTAGGTTTCAATTTTGTTTTGTTTTGTTTTTTGAGACAGAGTGTCACTCTGTCGCCCAGGCTGGAGTGCAATGGCACAATCTTGGCTCACTGCAACCTCTGCGTCCCAGGTTCAAGTGATTCTTGTGCCTCAGCCTCCTGAGTAGCTGGGATTACAGGCATGCACCACCACGCCCAGCTAATTTTTACATTTTTAGTAGAGACGGGGTTTCACCACATTGGCCAGGCTGGTCTCAAACTCCTGACCTCATTCGATCTGCCTGCCTCAGCCTCCCAAAAGCGACCGGCCTAGGATTCAATTTTTAACAATTCATTTTTGCAATTTGTATCTGATCCCATAAGTGAATTGCATTCAGAAGGGCTTGGACTCCCAGGTTAGTAGGTAGAAGTTTTTTTATTTTTATTTTTTCTTAGAGCACGACTGATTTTACTATCATACGGCCATTTAAAAGGAATTTAATGGATTTTTGAGCACATTAAACTGGACCTAAACTAATGTACTCTAAATGGGAAATAAAAATGAAATTGAGACAAAAACATACACAACATATAAATACACCATTAGTTGGAAGAAGGTATTAGTGTTAGTGTGTTAGGATAAGGAACATCATCTTTTGGCATGTTTGAGATTACAATATGATCATTAGATGCATTTCAAAATATCGTCTGTGGGCATACTGTGGGGAATTTGCTAGCCTCTGTGACTCCCTTCTACATTAATCTAATAAATCATGCAGAAGTAAGTGAAGTGAGAAAGATCTTTTATCACTCTACTGGATAGAAGGATTTCAAGAAATAGAAGCTCCTTACTACCACTTTAAGCCCCAGATATTCTCTGTCCTTTCTAACTAGCCTCTTCCTCATTCTAGGCATAACTGTGATAATGTCAGTCACTATGTAATTACAATTGGTTCTTTAAACATGATTTGACATATGTGACATAAAACACCTCATAATAACGACTAAAACTGAATCAATCCATTATTTGTAACTTTACATTTAGTTAAATGTCGGTTCTTTATTACTGTTTACTTATTATGTTTTAAACCCCCCACCGCAACACACACAAAAGAACAATAGGAGATCTCTGGTAAAGAGCAGTAGAGTCAATTGATTAGAGTTTCATGAATATCACTTGACCCTCAGCAAGTCACATCACCTGTCAACCCCAGTTTCCTAATTGCTAGAACAAAGGAGTTGAACTATGTTATCTCAAAAGTCTATTCTAGTTCAGTGTATTATTTTAAACATTTCTAAGTGTTATTTATTCTTTCAAGTGCCACTAGATATTTTCTATCTTTGTAGTAATAATTCTTTTTGGATATTTAATGGAAAGTAGGAAAATATTTTTCAAAGAGCCAGAGAATTGTTTTCCCCATTTTTCCAAAAATGAAAAAAAAATTTAATGGAGGTTCACATAAAACATTTAAATAGTAAAAAGGTATATAAAGTGGAAAGTGATAGTTCCTAACTTTTCAAAGAGGAATTAACAGTTTGTTATTTTTATTGGATATCCTTCTATGTCAAAACATATGTATCCACCTTAATGTTTATGGCAATAGTATTATTATGGTATGCCATAATTATTTGATTGATCCCTTGTTTATGGACTTTTTGTTGTTTCTACTTACTGTAAACAATAACTATAATGAATATCTGGTACAAATATTTTTGTATGCACTCATTTCTTTAGAATAAATTTCTATAGAACTTTCAGATCACAAGGGTAAACCCATTTTTACTTTTGCTATATGTGGCTAAAATGCTGTCCTGAAATGTTAACAGTCTCTTTCTGACAGTACTTTGTTAATTTCTGATCAACTTTTCATGATAAACATGCATCTATTATGATTGGGAAGTTGTTCATAGGAAGTGAAAGCTTGAAATGCAAGAGATTTTTAAAGTGAATATATTTTGGTAAAAGAAACTGCAGTTCACTGTTTTTTTATATTTATTTATCATGTTAGATGTAGGCAATTTAGCTTTTTTTTTTCCATTTTAATGTTATGTACATTTTGGTTTGTCCATTGGTATTTTGTGTTGGTACTTTGGGATAAATTAATCACTAGAGATATGTACATTTTTACTGATTTCTTCATTTTCCTATGACCTTATCAAACTATATATAAATTATATAACAATTACAGATATGAATTGCTGATATCATTGTAACTTCATTTTTACTCTATGAAAACTAGCTAATCCAGGCGTGGTGGCTTGCACCTATAATCCCATCACTTTGGTAGACCGAGATAGGAGGATCACTTGAGCCCAGGAGTTCAAGATAGCCTGAGCAACATTGCAAGACCCCATCTCTACAAAAATTTAAAAATTAGCCAGGTTTGGGAGTATGCGCCTGTAGTCTCAGCTACTTGGGACACTGCGGCTGCAGTGAGCTATGATCGCAAGACTGCACTCTAGCCTGGGCAACAGAGTAAGACCCTGTCTCTTAAAAAAAAAAGAAAAGAAAGAAAGAAGCTAGCTATTTTGAAATGTAATTTTCAAAATTTACATGCAGAACTAACTGGTCAGGTTTTTCAGTCTTAAGACATTTTGATGAGTTGAGGGTTATGTAAGTCATTACTATGAAAACATAAAGTAATTGTGCCATAATTACATAAAAATCTTTGTGCCTTTTCTTCATAGGCATGCATTCCTCAGCAGCAACTGAGCTGTTTGCTACTGGACCTTTGCCAAGCACTGGAACACTTCCACCATCTCTCTCTGCTTATCAGCATCCCACCACCTTCAGCAATAGAAACTTTGCTACCACTTCACCTTTGGTGCTTCAGGATTCAACTTTTAACACTACATCAAATGGAATTTTAAGTCATCATGACCCTTTGCTACAAATCAAGACTTCCCAGGGAACTGTTCCAACTGCTTTGGCATTTGAGCGCCTGGGCAGTTCTGTATTAAGTAACAGCATACCACCTCAGTCTTCAACATACCGCTCAGCTCAAGAGTCTGCACCCCATCTTTTACAACCTCAATTTAGTTTGTTGCCTTCAGCACTTGGGGGATCCCAGCAGACTCCTCAAGCCTACAGTTCAACTCTCTTTACTAGTTCTACTGCTTCCATTGAAAGAGCTCTTCTTCGAGAATGTAGTGTTATTAAACACCATCAGCGGCCTTCAGGTACCCAGTCAATTCAGGCACAACTGACTGGTTCACAGCACTCCTTACATAGTTATCTATCAAATTCAAGTGTAGTTAATTTTCAGGAAACAACCAGGCAGTCATCTTTATCCTGTAGCCCAATTGGAGATTCCACTCAGGTGAGCAACGGAGGATTACAACAGAAGACCTCCCAGGTCTCAGTGGAACTTGCTCAGTCTTACTCATCTGCGATTCCATCATCAGGGTATCCTCCTTCTACTACAAAAATAAAAAGCTGTTCTACAGAACAACCACTGACATCAACCAAGACCCCTAAACCTCAAAGTATAATTCCTCCTGTGCAAACACTAAGCTATTCCAAACCTTTACATAATCAGAGTTCTGTAATATCGGGCCAAGCACAAATTTATTCTACAGCGCAGCTACCAAGCCTTTTATCAGTTAGTCAGTCCCAAAATTACGGTTTAGTACAGCCACATAATGTGCCATCTATTGTTCATTCACAGGTTTATAGGTCCAGCAAGGTTGAGAAATTGCCACCCTTGTATAAAACATTGACTTTTTCTGGGTCATCTCAGACTGTAACTCCTGAAAATCAGACGCTTAATTATTCATCTAATCAGCAAGAGGTATTGTCTTCAGTTACAAATGAGAATTACCCTGCTCAAACAAGAGATCTGTCTTCAGTAAGTCAGTCTCAAAGTTACTCATCTGGTCACTCTCAGGGTTTATCACCAGTTAGCCAGACACAGGTTAGCTATTCATCTCAATCACAAGTTTTGTCAGTTGTTAGTCTTTCAGAAAGCTATGCTTCAGGGGAGTCCCTAACATTAACAGCCCCTTCTCTTTCTTATTCTTCTGCCTCTCGGGCTCAGAATTTGCCAGACTCTAGCCCGACCCAGAATTATATTTCTATGCATTCTTCCCAAAATGTTCAGACTCAAGAGTCATCATCTCCCCAGTCCCAGAAGTTTTTGCCTGCTGTCCAGTCATCATCTTTTGCATCCTCTACTCATTGTCAGACATTACAAAATAACATAACTTCCCCTGACCCAAAGTCTTATGCTGAAAGAAAGCTTGACTCAGATGTGTATCCATCTTCAAAGCAAGAAGATGGTTTTCCAATGCAAGAGTTACAGGTGTTGCAGCCACAAGCATCTCTTGAGTCATCAACCCAAAGGCTATCTGATGGAGAAATTAATGCTCAAGAATCAACTTATAAGGTGTCAAAGGCAGATGACAGATATTCTCAGAGTGTAATCAGAAGTAATTCCCGTCTTGAAGATCAAGTTATTGGGGTTGCTCTGCAAGCATCAAAAAAAGAAGAAAGTGTTGTTGGTTCAGTGACACAACTTAACCAACAAATTGGCCAAGTCAATAATGCAGCTACCCTTGATCTTAAGAACTCAACTAATTTAATACAGACTCCACAAATAAGGTTGAATACTAAAGACTTAAAGCAGCAACATCCTCTCATACTTAAGGTGCATGAGTCCAAGGTCCAGGAACAGCACGATCAAATAATTAATGCTTCATCTCAGATTCAAATTCCAAATCATGCTTTAGGGCATGGCCATCAGGCATCTCTTCCTAATACACAGGTCCTTTTAGATTCTGCCTGTGATTTACAAATTCTTCAGCAGTCAATACTGCAGGCAGGTTTAGGTCAAGTAAAGGCATCTTTACAAGCACAGCGTGTTCAAAGCCCTCAACAAATAGTACATCCCTTCCTTCAGATGGAAGGTCATGTTATTCAAAGCAATGGTGATCATTCTCAGCAGCAACTCCATCCTCAAAATTCTGAAGTTATGAAAATGGACCTCTCTGAGTCTTCAAAACCATTACAACAACATCTAACAACAAAGGGCCATTTTAGTGAAACAAATCAACATGATTCAAAGAATCAGTTTGTTTCTCTTGGATCGATGTGTTTCCCAGAGGCAGTGCTTCTTAGTGATGAAAGAAATATTTTATCAAATGTAGATGATATCTTAGCAGCTACAGCAGCAGCTTGTGGAGTTACACCTACTGATTTTTCCAAGTCAACTTCAAATGAAACCATGCAGGCTGTTGAAGATGGTGATTCTAAATCTCATTTTCAGCAGTCATTAGATGTCAGGCATGTGACTTCAGATTTTAACTCTATGACAGCTACAGTAGGAAAGCCACAGAATATAAATGATACTTCCTTAAATGGAAATCAGGTTACTGTGAACCTTTCACCAGTACCTGCCCTTCAGTCAAAAATGACTCTTGATCAACAGCACATTGAAACACCTGGTCAAAATATACCAACTAAAGTAACTTCAGCAGTGGTTGGACCAAGTCATGAAGTCCAGGAGCAAAGTTCTGGCCCATTCAAGAAACAGTCTGCTACCAATCTTGAATCTGAAGAAGACAGTGAAGCTCCTGTTGATAGTACATTAAATAATAACAGAAACCAAGAGTTTGTTTCTAGTAGTAGAAGTATAAGTGGAGAGAATGCTACATCAGAGAGTGAATTTACCTTAGGGGGTGACGACAGTGGTGTGTCAATGAACCCAGCTAGGAGTGCACTTGCACTGTTGGCCATGGCCCAATCTGGGGATGCAGTCAGTGTCAAGATTGAAGAAGAAAACCAAGATTTAATGCATTTTAACCTTCAAAAGAAAAGAGCTAAAGGAAAAGGGCAAGTTAAAGAGGAAGACAACAGTAATCAGAAACAGCTGAAAAGACCTGCCCAAGGCAAACGCCAGAATCCAAGGGGAACAGATATTTACTTACCGTATACTCCTCCTTCCTCAGAAAGCTGCCATGATGGTTATCAGCATCAAGAAAAAATGAGACAGAAGATCAAAGAGGTGGAGGAAAAACAACCAGAAGTCAAAACAGGATTTATTGCTTCTTTCTTAGATTTTCTGAAATCCGGGCCCAAGCAGCAGTTTTCCACTCTTGCTGTACGAATGCCTAACAGGACTAGACGGCCAGGGACCCAGATGGTTCGTACATTTTGTCCCCCACCACTTCCCAAGCCTTCATCTACAACACCCACACCTTTAGTGTCTGAAACTGGCGGTAACAGTCCATCAGATAAAGTTGATAATGAACTTAAAAACTTGGAACATTTATCTTCATTTTCTTCTGATGAAGATGATCCTGGATATAGTCAAGATGCTTATAAAAGCGTCTCTACTCCCTTAACTACTTTGGATGCTACTTCTGATAAAAAGAAGAAAACAGGTAAAGTTTTACAATTTAGATTCATAATTATTACTTTCTTCTATTTTTCCAGCTATAGCCCACATTTTAAGCTTTTTTCACTTAAAGCAGGTCTGCAAGTACATTTTCAGGACAAAATGTATAGGTAGGTATCTTAAGGACTTATTTTTTAAATTTTTCTTGCCTATAGGAAAGGTCTATGTTTTAGGTTAAGTAGTTCTGCTTTTTCTTGGCTTTTTGCCAAAGGCAGCATAATCTGTACAGTATGCCATCTAATCTGAGACATCTTGAGGTAATTGAGGCACTGTATTGTGGGCATTGCTGTAGTATAAACCTGGTACATTTTCTTAGTTTGCCAATTTTATCTGAAGATTAACATTTTATTATTAAATATGGTTATGTTTAAATATGTTGCAATAGTCCAGGTGACAAATGATAGCTTTTTTCAGATGAGGCAACAGGGATGTTATAGAGTTAAAATCTGAACCATTAAATGTGGTTATGTGCAGCATGCACACTAATATAATTAAGATAAAACTTAAAAATTTTATGCTGGCTTCAGATTATATACCCAAATCTTTGGGTATGTGTTTCACTTTACTCTGTGGCTAAGGGAGCTTTAGAGGAAATTTTTTTTTTTATACTTTAAGTTTTAGGGTACATGTGCACAACGTGCAGGTTAGTTACATATGTATACATGTGCCATGTTGGTGGGCTGCACCCATAACTCGTTATTTAACATTAGGTATATCTCCTAATGCTGTCCCTCCCCCCTCCCTCCAGCCCACAACAGGCCCTGGTGTGTGATGTTCCCCTTCCTGTGCCCATGTGTTCTCATTGTTCAATTCCCACCTGAGTGAGAACACGTGGTGTTTGGTTTTTTGTCCTTGCAATAGTTTGCTGAGAATCATGGTTTCCAGCTTCATCCATGTCCCTACAAAGGACATGAACTCATCCTTTTTTATGGCTGCATAGTATTCCATGGTGTATATGTGCCACATTTTCTTAATCCAGTCTATCATTGTTGGACATTTGGCATATTTTAAGAAGCAATGACTTATGTAAACAATTGGCAGTAAGTATGGTATTTTCTATTGTAAGAAACATGCCAAGGAAAAATTTATTTGTAACAATAATATAACTACCACCTCTGTGCCAGGAACTAGTAGCAATGTTGTGAGATACACATTGTTATCTCCAATATACAGATGATATAACTGAGAATAAATGAATTATGTGGGCCCATACCTCTAGTAAGTGACAGAGCTGGAATCTGAACCCAGGTTTTTCTGGTTCTAGAGCCTACATTCTTTCTCAGCTCTTTAGGATAAATAGGGTGGTGCTTTAAGACTTAAACCTTGTTTTGTAACATACTTCCCAGCTTCTCTCTGGACTTGACTACCTTTAACTACTAAAGTGTTACGAGACAGCTGGTATCCAAATAACCTGTTAGCATAAATATCTGATAATACATTTCTAAAGAATTCTCATTTCATTACACAGGGAAATTAACATGATAGAAAGTCAGTCTCAGATTCAAAGACATTACTACCATGGATGTGTCTAATCCTAATATGGTTTTATAACGTCTCACCCAGTTCAGAGTGCTTTGCAATCGCTATTATATTCCCTCTTACATTCCCAGAATGAACCTTTTGAAATCTCTGTTCTAAAACATGAGTCTAAAACTAGTTTCTTCCAGAGATATGTTATCTCATTTTTAGTTAAAATCATCATCATAAACCCGATCCTTACTATTAGGTCTTTGAAGTTGTCTTATCACCATCCCTGTTGCCTCATCTGAAAAAAGCTATCATTTGTCACTTGGACTATTGCAACTGATTACTCATTACAGACTTTTCTTTTTTTTCTTTTTTTATTATTTTAAGAGACAGAGTCTTGCTCTGTCACCCAGGCTGGAGTACAGTGGTGTGATCTTGGCACATTGAAACCTCAAACTCCTGGGCCCAGGCAATCTTCCTTCCTCAGCCTCCTGAGCAACTGGGACTATAGGCACATGCCACCATGCCTGGCTAATTTTTTTTTAATCTGTTGTAGAGATGGGATCTTGCTGTATTGCCCAGGCTGGTCTTGAACTCCTGGCCTCGAGCAGTCCTCCCACCTTGGCCTCCCAAAGTGCTGGGATTATAGGCATGAGCCACTGCGCCTGGCCTAGAATTTTTTCTCGCCAGTCTCTATGCCAGTCCATCCTCCACATTGTCAACAGATTCAACTTTATAAAAAAGGAAAGCTGATTGTTACTTCTATTTCAAAACACCTCTGTGCTTCATGGGAAAAATAAAGATTATATGTAAAAATTCCTTTTTCCATGTTTTACTCTCTTTCCACTGTCCCTCTGCTGTGACAATTGAATTTTTCATTGTTTCTTGGATGTCTCTCCCCCTTCTACAGTTGTGAACCTTTGAACACATTTTTCTCTTTGTAGACTACTCTCTTCTCCAGTTTTTAGTCTAGAAGATACTTATTGATCTTTAAAGACTATTTTCAAAGTCATGTTGTAGACATTATTCCAGACAGAATTAGTGCTCCTATCCTTTGAATTCCCACAGCTCTTAAATTTCAATGAAAGCATTTACTTTTGTGTTTTAATGTGTTCATTTACATTTGTATATTTCATTAGAAAGTGAGTTCCTTCAAGCTAGTGAAGGGTTATGGTTGAGAATTTAGGCTTTAGAGTTAAATCACCTTGGGTTCAAATTCTAGAATCATAGTGCTGTGACTTTAGGGCATGTTCCTCATCTGTAAAATGGGACATGGTGATACAGTCAGTATATAGTAACCTCTCAGGTTTTTGAGAGGACTCAGGGACATAAAGAACGTCATGCACAACCTGAGTCATTAATTGTAGTTATTATACTGCAATCATCTTTGTATTTGCAAGACCTGAAGTGTAGCAGGTACTCAAATAATGAGTGAGGGTATGTAAAAGAAAAGTAGAACATTGAGGTGATCGTGAGTTAAAGTAGCCAGGTTTTGATTTTAATTTTGTGAGTAGAATTCTGACTTTTGCACATAGGTTGCACAGTCCCAAACAGTTTAAATGAAGTCACAGAGATATATGATGAGCCTGTGGTACTCCACATTTCACAGTTCCATGGTAAATAACTTAAACGTGAGTATATCTTCCACTGATGCTAGTTTCCAAATACTTGTAATATTTTCTGGAACATAGGCTTGCTGTTAGTTTTTTGTGGACTGCTGTAGCCATTCTGAGCATATGAAGATGTCTTTAGTTGCACCTGTTTCCTCCTGTTTTTTGACTTTAAATTATTCAGATGCCTAAAGGGCATATTCCTTGCTCTAAAATAATAAAGTTTTCTAGTAAAGTTTGTGATAAAATAATTATAAAGTA